>NC_000004.12:81042593-81194108 GCF_000001405.40 Homo sapiens
ACAGAGGTAGAGGCTAATTAACAGCAGGTCACAAGGTGACTAGAAGGAAACATGTTTGAAAGAAGAAAATATTTTGAAGCAAAATGTGGGGCAAAGGGCAGGATTGGTTTACCCATTAAGTTACTGCCACTCATATCCCTTGGAGATCATTTATTCCCTGCCAGCATGTTTGTTTGGCAACCATTGGATTGCCACATACCTAGAACAGAGTGGCTTCTCTTCCTTCCACTTTAAACTTCTAGCTACTACACGAAATTTGGGTAAAAGTATATGCTCCGGTGACTGGTATGAATTAAGGCTCAAGTCTCTGAACAGTCCTGATGCCATGGCTTTGTTATAAAGGTCTGTAAAATATTATCCTGGTGTCATGGATTATACAAATGTGCACCAATGGCAGTTTCCTCCTTTTCCTTCACACAGTGTTAAAAATGAATAGAATATGTTTCCCATTGCACTTCCCTTGTGCTTGGGGACTCAATGAACTCATTTTAAGTTTCCACATCTTTATAAAAATGTTTTGTTTTTACTGAAACATGTTTTTGATCAAGAACATAATTTCACGATTGCGTGTGTGTTTCTGAAACAAATATGTATATGAAACAAGTGCATGGAGAAGGGCTTAGGCTCTGGTGACTGATCCCAGGATGGGAGATTCCAGAGTTCTAACCTCAGTCCTGTGGATCTCGGTTTATGAGCTAAAGGAGAGGAATCAAATTCTGCACCTATTAATAAATCTCTCATTCTCTTCTTCTCTCTCATTTCTGGATTTGAAGAATTGGAAGTATGGGTGAACAATTTTAATCATTTTTGTTGCACTATATAGAAAGTTAACTCTTAAATTTATGGAATGTCATAAACTTCAAACAAGCTCCACAACAGCATTCTTTTTTTTTCTTTTTTGACATTTTTGCAGTATGCCTTATTTTTTCAGATGTATTATTTGAATATTGAGATGCGTTGGATCCTGCTTACCCAATGCTTATCAAGCATACTACAATTTTTTTTTTTTTTTGAGACAGCGTCTCACTCTGTTGCCCAGGCTGGTGTGCAGTAGTGTCATCTCGGCTCACTGCAACCTCCACCTCCCAGACTCAAGCGATTCTCCTGCCTCAGCCTCCCGAGTAGCTGGGATTACAGGTGTGTGCCACTACCGCCTTGCTAATTTTTGTATTTTTAGTAGAGACAGGGTTTCACTATGGTGGCCAGGCTGGTCTTGAACTCCTGACCTCAAATGATCCACCTGCCTTGGCCTCCCAAAGTGCTGGCATAACAGTCATGAGCCACTGCACCTGGCCTCATCCTACATTTTTTGAAGTAGGTAGAAGAAGATGTAATCCCTGTAAGACTGTTAATACCAGAACTAATAACAATAATAATTGATATTTAAGAAACACTTCACAGACACTTTATGGACTGCTTTATACATGTCTCATTTAATTCTGATGACATGGGAGGTAGATATTGTCTCATTTTGTGAATGAGAATATTAGCTTGTATAATGTTGTGAAGTTGGTAAGTGGCTGAGCGAGTACTCGAATCAAGGTGAGTGTAATTCCAAACCCTGTGTTTGTAGCCCGTAGGCTATACGTGCCTCAGATAAAAAGCTATTACAATACATTGCCAAATTTGTAGGAATAAGTCTTGACAATCCTCCATAACTCTGAGCTTTCACCCCTTTAAGTTTATTTCTCCGTTAAAATTTTCACACATTTATGGTGCTTCAGTAAAGGAAAGAGCAAAGTAATTAAAATGGCTGATCCTTGCTAACCTTTTTTTGTCTTTTAAAATTATTCCTGTTTATTACTCTCTTTTTATTCCACTTCCAGGAAGCCTCCAAAGCAAGAGACTGCATAATTGTTTTGCTTTGTTTTAATTGAGGTGAAATTCACATAGTATAAATTTAACTAATTTTAAGTAAACAATATAATGACAGTTAATACCCTCACAATGTTGTGCTATCACCAAGTCTATATAGTTCCAAAATATTTCCACAATTTTAAAACAAAACCCTGTAACCATTAAGGAGTTTCTTTTCATTAGCCCCTCCCTTTGGCTTCTGGCAAACACCGATCTGATTCTGTCTCTATGGATTTTACTATTCTGGATATTCCATATAAATGGAATCAAACAATATGTGATCTTCCATGTCTTGCTTTCATTTAGCATAGTTTTTTCAAGGTTCATCCACATTGTAGCATGTGTCAGTACTTCATTCTTTTTCATGGAAGAATAATATTTGATTGTATGGGTATACCACAATTTCTTTATCCATTCATCCATTGGTAGTCATTTGAGCTGTTCTAACTTTTGGCTATTGTGACTAGTGCTGCTATAACCATGTAATTATTTGAGTGCCTGTTTCAATTCTTTGGCGTGTATACATAGGAGAGCAATTGCGGAATCATAATAATTCTATGTTTAACTTTTTGAGGAACTGCCAAAGAGTATTCCACAGCAGGTGAACCATTTTGCATTCCCACCAGCAATTTGAGAGTGTTCCAATTTCTCCACCTTCTCAGTAACCTTCTGGGTTTTTTCGTTTATTTGTTATAGTCATCCTAGTGTGTATCAAGTAGTACTTCACTGTGATTTTGATTGTGTTTCCCTGATGGCTAATGATGTTGAGCATCTTGTCATGTGCTTCTTGGCCATTTATATATCTTCTTTGAAGAAATGTCTATTCAAGGCATTTTCCCATTTTTATTTGGTTTCTTGGTCTGTTTATTGCTGAGTTGTAACTGTTATTTATATGTTCTGGATACTAGATTTATCAAATGTATGATTTGCAATTATTTTATCTTATTATGGAAGTTGTCTTTTCACTTTCTTGACAATGTCTTTTGATATACAAAAGTTTTTAATTTTAATGAAGTCCAGTTTATTTTATAAATTTACCGATTTTATTGATGTATCTACTTTTTCTTTTATTGCTTACACTTATGGTGTCATATCTAAGAATGGCTTCATATCTAAGAAGTCATTGCCAAATTCAAAGTCATGAAGATTTACCCCTAGGTTTCTTTCCAAAAATTTCATGGATTTAGTTCTTATATATAGGTTTCTGATTCATTTTGAGTTAATTGTCATATAGTGAAGTAATGGTCTTGTTTTCTCCTGTTTACTCTCTTTCTTTTTCCTTCCTAGAAACTCTTGAAAGAAAAGGACTGTATATCTTCAATCTGACATCGCTAACCAAGTCTGAAAACATTTTGTCTGCCACACTGTATTTCTGTATTGGAGAGCTAGGAAACATCAGCCTGAGTTGTCCAGTGTCTGGAGGATGCTCCCATCATGCTCAGAGGAAACACATTCAGATTGATCTTTCTGCATGGACCCTCAAATTCAGCAGAAACCAAAGTCAACTCCTTGGCCATCTGTCAGTGGATATGGCCAAATCTCATCGAGATATTATGTCCTGGCTGTCTAAAGATATCACTCAACTCTTGAGGAAGGCCAAAGAAAATGAAGAGTTCCTCATAGGATTTAACATTACGTCCAAGGGACGCCAGCTGCCAAAGAGGAGGTTACCTTTTCCAGAGCCTTATATCTTGGTATATGCCAATGATGCCGCCATTTCTGAGCCAGAAAGTGTGGTATCAAGCTTACAGGGACACCGGAATTTTCCCACTGGAACTGTTCCCAAATGGGATAGCCACATCAGAGCTGCCCTTTCCATTGAGCGGAGGAAGAAGCGCTCTACTGGGGTCTTGCTGCCTCTGCAGAACAACGAGCTTCCTGGGGCAGAATACCAGTATAAAAAGGATGAGGTGTGGGAGGAGAGAAAGCCTTACAAGACCCTTCAGGCTCAGGCCCCTGAAAAGAGTAAGAATAAAAAGAAACAGAGAAAGGGGCCTCATCGGAAGAGCCAGACGCTCCAATTTGATGAGCAGACCCTGAAAAAGGCAAGGAGAAAGCAGTGGATTGAACCTCGGAATTGCGCCAGGAGATACCTCAAGGTAGACTTTGCAGATATTGGCTGGAGTGAATGGATTATCTCCCCCAAGTCCTTTGATGCCTATTATTGCTCTGGAGCATGCCAGTTCCCCATGCCAAAGGTAGCCATTGTTCTCTGTCCTGTACTTACTTCCTATTTCCATTAGTAGAAAGACACATTGACTAAGTTAGTGTGCATATAGGGGGTTTGTGTAAGTGTTTGTGTTTCCATTTGCAAAATCCATTGGGACCCTTATTTACTACATTCTAAACCATAATAGGTAATATGGTTATTCTTGGTTTCTCTTTAATGGTTGTTAAAGTCATATGAAGTCAGTATTGGTATAAAGAAGGATATGAGAAAAAAACATGTGTGAAACATACTTGTTGTGTTGCTTCTCAACATGGTGCATATTCAGCCACATGGTTGTGTGTGAACCTGCACCTGTCCATGTAAGCAAGCCCCAAATGGTAGAAGGCTGACCTTGGAAGAGTATTCAAGGAATAAGTGAATGTCATGGGAGCACAGAGAAGAGCTGATGGGATTGATGCCCTAATGCAGAACATGTTTTAATAAATACCCTCTTGTGAGCTAAGTTGTCCCCACAGAGGTCAGGATCAGGATTGACTCAGGTAAACTGGCCTCATGAAATCCACTACGTGCTTATTTCATTTGCTTCATTGCTAAACATCAGAAAAGGAAAGCAACATAGAATATGATGACTCTGTAAACTTTTGCCAAGACTAATTTCAACCTTTCGGAGCTTACCTGTATCTCCTCGAAAATCCATAAGGTCTGAACTTCATCATATCAGTTCTCAGTCTCCTGACAAATATATTTGCAGAAGTCTCTCCAACCCCCACCTCCAACTTGCACGGCAAGTTCAAGTGACTGTTCTCTTTGAATTTACAGTTTAAGTAGTACCCTCTATAGTAAAATATAGTGGCACTCTTCAGCCTTCAGTTAAGCTTATTGGTGCACTTCCATTCTCAGCTTGTAGCAGTTTATATCTCTGTTATACCAAAAAAAAAAAAAGTTGCTGAAGGAACAGAATTCAGAGGAAGAATACAGTTTTTTCTTTCAAAATTTGAAACAAGTCCATTTTTGCTATTGTATGATAATGAAGAAAAAATCCTTTGTCTCAACAAATGACCAACTTCTGCTTATGCATCTCTAAAATAGCGTTTTCATGTTCTAGCCAAGTGTAGCACTTGGTTATAATCATTGGGATGACAAGCATAACAAACATAAATGCAAAGGGCTTTAGTCTGGCACAGTGGCATGCCCCTGTAGTTCCAGCTACTCTGGAGGCTGAGGCAGGAGGATCACTTGAGTCCAAGAGTTGGAGTAAGCTCTGATTGCACTACTGCACTCCAGCCTGGGTGACAGAGTGAGACAGCGAGACCCTGACTCTGAAGAGAAAAAAAAAAAAAAAAAAAAAGCAAAGGGCTGACAGCACAAGGCTGGGTTAGCCTTTTCAGGGCCACAAACTTGATTGAAATTTTATTTTCTTGTAATAATACTTCTCTAAGACCCCTTCTTTCCCAAGGATTTTTGATCATTTTATGTTTCATAAACCCAAACACAAAGTACGAATTCTATACACTTGCAATTATATAAAGAGCCTTATCTTGTCTAAATATTCATAAAGGATATTTTACTGATCAAACAAAGTTGTTCAAATGAGATAACATGAAAAAACACACACACAACAAAGATGACAAATGTAACAAGCAGTGATGAGTCTTTATTTTACAGTGTGGCTTGCCTTGTGGCATTGAGAGGCAAGAATGGTTTCAATATCTGTCTTTAAACCCAGGATGACTGACTTTAGTTGGGTCTCGAAGTTTTCCAAATAATCCCTCTCACTTATAAAGGGTAATATATTCTGGGTAGCCTGGGGAAGTAGTTTTTCCCTTTTCTCCTGACTACAATCTTCAGGACTCAGGAAGCCATGATAATGCAGAGATACTCTGTTAGTTTGCTTTTGAACCTCTAGCTCTGGAGAATTGATTTGGTATCCACCCCACCACAATTACTTCCAATTTGTCCCTCTCATTTATTGGTTCTACCTGCTTTTACTGTTCCGAAACCTGCTGTTACTTCAGAAGAGCTCCATCATGTTTCTCAGTGATCTAAAGAATAATAATTTAAGAATTGATGAGGAATAAGGTAAAAATAGCAGAAATAAATTTAAGGAGAGAAGTATGTTAGTGCAGAAGAATAATTAAATGTACACGCTTGGTCATAGCAGGGCATCTTAAACCTTAATGTCCTGGCAAATTGCCCTGGATTTAGTTAATATGTAGGTTCTGATCCAGTGGATATAGGAGTAGAGCCTAAGATTCTGCATATCTAACAAGTTCCTAGGTGATGCAGATGCTGCTGATTCACAAATTGCACTTTGAGTAGCAAAAATAAAAGTCAAATCCTTTTAACTTGAATCTTGATTCTACCACTTACCTGCTATGACTCTTTGGAGAAGTTATTCAGACTCTCTACAAGTTATTTTTACAGTCTGAAATGGGTCAAATAGTAAATAGTAAAAATAATAGTTTCTATATAACAAAAACAGTGGAAAAATGAGACAGTAGAGCACCTTGCACATAGTAGGTTATCAATAAATACCTGTTATTGGCATTATTATTCACGGCCATTTCTGAGACTGAGGAGAAAGAAAAGCAAACGTAGGACTCTGAAGAAAGACTACATAGGAAACGAGATCAAGAGAATAAAAGTTGTAAGGCAGGAAAATGTTTTCTAAATGTTTCTAGTCCCTTTTCAAACATCACAAAGCTGAAAATAGGTTTCTCCCTTTGCATTCAACCGCCCGTGAGCTCTTCCAGGGAGGTTTATTTGGAGAGTAAGAGAATCAGGAGAGCATCAGTTGCAGCAACTGAACTCATCATAATATTTGTCAAAACTTGGAAGGGCATCAGAACTCCAGGGAGACATAACAGGGATAAGTGTGGAGCTTTCTCTCTGAGCTTCAGATTTCCTTTTGCCAAGTTGAGAGTGGAAGTTTGGCTGTTACATAGAGTTCTCAATCTCTCATCACCTTGTGTGTATCTGTTTAACTTTTAAAGCTTTCTAGTGGTTCCCTTTAAGCCTTCCACGCCTTGTGTCTTTCAAGTGGTACGGTGACCAAAAAGATGGGAAACATGCAGCCAAATGAAGCTGCTACATTAGGGGTAATTAATAAACATCCCTGTTATCTGCACCGTGTCCAATACTGCAACCAGAGTGAACTTTGTAAATAAAAATATAGTCTAAGCAACAGAGGAGAATCAAGGCCACTGGTCAGATCAGTACAAAACATGTGGAATAACTGAGGTGCCAAAGACCTTTCAGACTTTAGATATAGTTTTTGCCCCAGAGAAAGTTCCCCCAGGCTAGACTGCTTTGTTGGCCCTCCTTTCTTTTGGCCTCCTGAGCCAAAGAGTGTTCTATATGGCAGGGCTTTTTGTCTGCAAAAGTTGACAACCTGTTCTCTAATTCAGAACAGCTGTGTTCTTTCTGCCTTTCCCAAATTCCAGGCTTTGCCCTTTCACTGATTCCAATTAGATAGTTTCTGGGCTATCACACCCATGTGGGCTGGACTGGAAGAATTGTGGAGTAAAACTCCATGGCCCAGGTCAGGAATGAAGGCTCTTAGCTGATGACATGCTCTCCCCTGCTAATGCATTTGTAATCAAATTCAACTCGAGGACATCATACACGGCTTGGCAGGTGCAGGCCTGACCATTGTAGATTTCATTCACAGACACGGCAGTTTGGATTTTTCTGATTTCTAGCCCTTACAGCCAATCTGTTCTCCCAGAGAGAGATTCTTGGAATTCTGCCATGAGATGAAAAATACCCATACAGTTAATGCCAAGTTCTATACCTTTGCCTCTCCTCATCACCTTAGAAGAGATGGAAAACAGAAATTTCAAATGAAAGTGATTGAGCTGTTGTCACTGACAAAGATCCAAGAGAAGTTAGTTTTGCTTTTTTTTTTTCAAGGAATTTTGCAAAAGCTATAAATAGCAAACACATAGAATTAGGCAGCAAAGAATCTAAACACTTTGAACCAAGTATTCCATACAAAGAAGAAATTCACATTTAATGCGTTCAAAATGATACAACCTCAATTAATTTCCTGAATCTTCCAATTCTAATCTCTGGTCATAAAAATGAACTCCAAAAACATTAAATCTTGATGTGCTAAGTTACTTAAGCAAAAAATTACCTAACTGCTATTGAAGTCGTGCTTCACCCTCATTAGAAAGAGCTGGTAAGGCAAATACCACAGATATGCATTAGTAATTGATATATTAATTTTTTAACTTGTTTAATAAAGAGTCATGAGAAACATGACCTGAACTCAGAAACAAACAGAAATTCCGGACTGGCAATATGCTTTACACCAGCAAATTACCGGATGGATCTTTTGTGCACGATGTAATTATTTCTGTTAATGGCAGGTTGATCAGAGGATTTCATAGTGAGAAAAAAAAAAGCAGGGGAAACTTCCTAGTAATCTGAGAGGTTCCTGATAAGATACACCAATGCAGAATCAGGGGCTTCTGTCCAAATTCCAGTGAGCCCACTAGAGACTACTCATATACTCATAGTTTCTGAATCTATCATTTGTTACTTGAAGCTGTAAAAAAAAGGACAGGAATTTTCCTAGGAAACACCCATGAATATTATCCATATCTACACCAGGTCATTTGCACAGAAACTTGTATTTGTGTTGATAGGAACTATTTCCACAGAAATGGATAAAAATGGAGGGTATGTTGTTTCTTTTAAGTATTTCATCCATTTAACAAGCATTTGTTCCATGCCTAGATTATACTAGGTGCTCAGGAACAGCAATGCACAGGAGAATTTAGCACCCAAGGTCTCATCTAATTAAGTTGATCCACTTTGTATAAAATTCAAATATTATAGGAGTCATTAAACATTAAAATAACAGAATAATTTTGGAAAATCTAGTTTAAAAGTTTTCGCTTTATGACAAGCTATTTAGATTATTGAGTCATAAAAATAACTTTAAATCAGTAGAGAAAAGTGGATGGCTGCAAAAGCTTTCTTTAGAAATTACCAATAGCAATAACAAGCAATGGCTACTGACATTTGTTGTACAATACTGATTGTAGTTTGTGTAAGTTACACAGATATTATTGGTGATGCAGGGCATACAATGTGCAAAATAAAACAGCATGGACTTCCTCTCCTCAAGGGAGGAATAACTTGCTTTGTAATGAATTAAAGCTAATTAATTCAAAGTTAACCAGTCTTTTTAACATATACTGAAAATCTCTAGGAAAAAAAAGTAAGAACAGTTGCCCATCATTAAGTCTAATTATTTAGTTACTTATGCCTAATCACAATAAAGTTGAAGTCTGATGTATGGATTTTATTTCATTGATATTAAAAGATGGGATGAGATTTAACCTTTCTCTGCCAAAAATAATCCTTTTTTTCTTTTTTTTTTTAAGAGTATGCCTGCTTTCTATATTATTGTCTTCTCCCTTGGTTTGTATATACCCTTAAAGTTTTAACTTGTTCCAGTTTCCCATGCTGGGAGCTTTAGGAGTTTGAAATTAAAATACCAATCCACTGGGGCGGGGTTCCTCTGAGCCATGAGAAACATGGCTCAAAGTTCTGAAATTAAAAAGCGAAAGTTTTGGTCAAAGTCCTACTCCTGAATTGGTCTCTGGCAAGTTACCAAACTTCTGTTTCTCAATGTGTTTAAAACAAAACTACTTTCACCTGCCTAAAAGAGGAATCGAGAAACACAGGTGTTGCACAGTGGGGCATCTCTTAGGAAGTTCTTACCACTCTGGCAATACCTAACATTCTGGACTTGCAAAAATGACTGTTCCTTTAGTACTTTTAGCTAGAGCAGAGCTGTATGGGGTTCTCTAAATAAAACCACATGCTTCACATGAATGTTAGTGGTCCCATTTGGCATTTTCTCAGGGAAAAGATTCTTACTCAGGCTTCTTTGGTGAAAGTTCTGGTATCCATAGGATAACTTTAGGCCCTCATAATTCCCAGAGGGAATTCCCAGAGGACGTGGCCCACTCTTAGAACACAACTCCATGCCTAATTCTAAACCAGTGGAGCAACAGTGACCCCCAGTGGCCAATGGTGTGGTCTTCTTACCCCCCAGTTTGTACTTCTAAGGAGAGTTGAATAATTACATAGTGGAATAGTAACCATCCAATCCATCTTGGCAACTATTAAATTAAATAAATCAATACCCCTCTGACCTGCTTGGTTTTATTTTAACAACAATGCCTAAATATCAATATAGCAGTGGCAATAATGTATCTCTGTTAAATAGAGTGCTTGTTAGGATTTTGATTAATGTAGGGTCAATAACGAATCATTTTTTGTTTCAATCCTGTTATTGAAAACACCGTAGAGTGTATTAATTCCATGTTTGGGGGCTAAGTTGTTTGTAATTAAATGATTCTTGCTGAGATAACTTGGTTTAAATCCTCTACCATTTACAAGCTATTTGAACTTAGATAAGTCGTTTAAGCTTTTTGAGCCTTTGTAAAATGTAAGAAATGTTAGCTTTGTTGTGAGAATTAGAGATACTACATATAATATGCCTGGAATGCAGCAGGCACTTAATAAATAATAACCATTTTGGTAGTGGTGGGATAGGCGATTGGGCTTAATGTATAATGATGCCAGAGGTTTTATTAAATTGTTGAAACAAATTCATTAGATAAGCATTTTGTGTAATGAGGACTGAGGAGTGGAAACGCAGTTCCACCTAACATATGTGTTCTTCTTTCATTTCTTTCTCTAGTCTTTGAAGCCATCAAATCATGCTACCATCCAGAGTATAGTGAGAGCTGTGGGGGTCGTTCCTGGGATTCCTGAGCCTTGCTGTGTACCAGAAAAGATGTCCTCACTCAGTATTTTATTCTTTGATGAAAATAAGAATGTAGTGCTTAAAGTATACCCTAACATGACAGTAGAGTCTTGCGCTTGCAGATAACCTGGCAAAGAACTCATTTGAATGCTTAATTCAATCATTAGTTTATTTTTATGGACTTCTTCCTGTTTTTTTTTTTTTTTTTTTTGCACTGCCAATGCATTTTGTTTCAAAAGATTATTTCTATAGTCAGAGGGGAATGAGCAAATAGACTGAAGATTGCCACCAAGGAAAAGAACTGTATTTGTTTCTGAATGTAACTTAAAGCAAGATTTTTAGTAAATATGGACATCTATTTCTCTTTTTGTAATCAAACACAACAACTTATCAAACTGTTTTTAGAACTGTTAGAGAACACACTGGTTTATTTTTGTAATGTTCTTTGAAAACAGAATGGAGAAGCAGCAATAGCTTGTCATTTATCTCATTTAATGACTAATGGGAAATAGAGAACAATTTCGCGTTTTGAATTAGGCTTATTGCCTTAGAATCCTGAGAAAGTGCTAAATAATCAACTCTGATGTTTTTCTTAAGTTCTTGAGACTCTTGTTTATCCTTGTTTTTCCTCCACAAGTCATTGTCTAAGTGTAATGGAAAGTTTATGCTGAGCGTTAGTGTGTATGTATGTGCGTACATGCGCCAGGTGCCTGTGCCCTCTGTAGGATGGTTTGCTTAATATGGTTTTATAATTCAGTTTACACAGGATTCTTTATTTTTTTTAATTTTGTATTTTGGCAAACACCATTCAGTTATAAGAACTTTGCCAAATATGATAGAATAATTCAAGAGCATATACAGAGAGTTACCACTTGACCCAGCTATTTAATTGCAAATACAGTTGTTTTCATTTCATTTCCTACCAGAAAAAGGAATCAGAAACCTAGTTTTTGAAAACACAAGTGTAATTCCTCTTTTGTACTTCTTTTTCACAAATGCTTTTATTTATTCTAAATTGAATTTAAAAATCCTTCCTAAAGCCATTAACTCTTTAATTCTCCTGATATGCCTTTACTTCCTATGAAGTTATTGGTAGATGTTGAGGCCCAAAAACTGGTAGAATATTGAAGATCTTCTTAAATGACCAATTTAACCATAACCAAATATTGAATATCATTCTTCAGTCACATCTAAGTCAGGCACTTTTTCACATAGATCAGGGCTTTTGGCTCAGTCACGAAATCTACAAGTTAGCAAAGCTTACAAAACATTATTCGTCAGGTATGGGAATCAAATATAGACACTTGTTTGTCTTTGCTTTCCATTTCTATGTGTCACATACATATATGTGTCCTCTTATAACTTTAGTCTTCAAAATTATTTCAATATCCTTCTTCTCACTATATTTATTTGTGTGATGGAAATGCTTTCAGGCCGTAGATCATTGTTGGTGTTAATCTGTGGTTAATCCTCATTTTAGTTCCGTCTTATCTGATACTTAGAAATATCTCAGCCATTTTGGAGGCTGTGCAGTATCAGAAGACGTGGAGTTTGTTCTGTCTCTGCCTGTAGCTAATTATGGTGGTTCAGTCATTTAATAAATATGTTTTGAGCATCTATTTTGTGAAAGGCACTGTGTTACCTGTGTGTCTTTAGTGTCCTCACTGGTAAAATGAAGAGGCTGGCCATGAGCTGGAAGGGTTAAGTTTATAATTCCAGCTATTTCACACCCGTCTTCCTTGAAGGAATGATAGTGATAGATATAAAAACACTGTAAGTCCCTCTTTTAATAAACTAAATGAAAGAACATCCTATACTTCGCTGTTTGTAAATTAGTATGGCATTCGCTTTGGTTTAAGTGGTATTTTATTGCAAACCCATTAAAAGAATAACTCATGAAAAGAAGCTCTTTGACACCTTGGGGTACACAAATGTTGGTGTGGGTGTGTGTTAATTCTGTGAGTGAGACACACCAGTTCTAAAAAAAATGAGTGAAGTTCTGGTGCCTGAGTTACCATGCTTTCTTCTAGTTCTTACAGTAGCATAAAATTAAAGATTCAAAGTGAGATGGAGGATAAAATTACTTTTTAATACATGTTCTCAAACATTTGAAAATAAAAGTATATGATAGAAGGGGGCCAGAGTGTGGCCACCATCCTGATCGTACTGTTTTTCAATAAAGAAAACTTTTTCATTGGTAGATTTGGTGAAATTCTAAATTTAGGTTTTTTTCTAGAGCTGTATCAACCAAAACTTCTGGCAATTCCCAGTATCACTTCTTAGCCTTCTTATATCCAAATGCCTGTTTATTACCTTTCTTAATTTGAATCAATGCCTAGTTATTACAGATTGCACCCCACAATGGCCAAAAACCCACTACATAATAAAATTTACAGGTACTAACTAGTTAAGATTATATTTTAAGTAGCAATTGATATAAAATTACAACACAATGAAAGAACTTGGGTAATCTCTTAGCAATGGAAATAGGTTTTAACCAGCAGTTTTTCTGGGTGCTTTGTAACTATCATTTTACTAATGAATTGAGGATGTATTATGGTTTAAATTGGAAGAGTTTTATTCCCAAAGAATAAAGCAAGATTATCTTTCAGTAGTAGAGATTGAAGTAAATGTATTAATATTTTAATTAATACAGATTTACTAAGAGTAGTTAGAAAATTTAGTAAGTGCCTGTTTTACAAATTGTTAGGTACTAGTTTCTGTATAATTCCTACACAGAAGCTTTAGAAATCTCCTGATATTAAATTATTAAATTGGCATTCATGAAAAGAGAAGCTACAATTATAAACTCCATTTGCTAAATCATGCATAATACTCTCTCTCTCTCTTCCCCCACAAGTAATCTCTCTACCCCATGCAGTGTGCACACACACACACACACAGTCAGTTACTGAAAAAAATAATTCTTTTTCTTTTTTTTTTTAAATGGAGTTTCACTCTTGTCGCCCAGGCTGGAGTGCAGTGGCGTGATCTCGGCCCACTGCAACCTCCACCTCCCAGGTTCAAGCAGTTCTCCTGCCTCAGCCTCCTGAGTAGCTGGGATTACAGGTGTCCGCCACCATGCCTGGCTAATTTTTTTATTTGATAAAAAGAATTCTTTTTCTCAATAACTGTTCTCTTGAATTCAAATTAAGGGACTGCCAAAGTCAATTAGAATATTTTAAAAATACTTTGTTGTAACCTGTGTAAATAATATACAATTTACAGGATTTGGGATTGTAGAACTTAAACTGGAAGACTGGATTCCTCAGATCTCAGGACTATAACATTCCAGATAAATTTTTACATTCCCTTTGCTGTATATTAACTGATGATCATTTATATGTTAAGATTTTTTACCTTAATATTTCTGAATAAAACTCTTATTGCCCATTTAATATTTTCATAGGCAATCAAATGTGAGTAATACTGCTAAGAGTCTGATTTATTAAAAATATTTGTATAATTCATTCAGTTTAGTTTTTCAGTTTAGTCTTTCTGCTTTCACTTTTCTCTGTGCTAACAAGTAACTAATGTCTGGGCATTGACTTCTTATTGAATCAAAGTTGGGTTAGGCATAGCTATGCACACCTGATGTGTAAGATTAAAGAAGAGATTAAATAAGAAATCTTGGGTAAGTTGGACTTTTCTGTATAGCTCTTTTTTCCTCTGAGTTGTATTTTAATGTAGTTTATAAGTGATAAAATGATCCTTGTTTTCTAAAAGCCAGTCCTTCCCTTCAGCTTTCCACAGTTTCTGTAAATGTTTAATACTTGTACAGTCAATGGCAATTTTAAATATATATATATATATAATATATGTATATGGAAAAGGTTCAAAGATGCTTTTAATTTATTTAATGACTATTGCCTTCCTATAATAATAATTTTCATCCTTAATTATGATAATACTTTTAGCAAGAAAAATTCCTTTTTACTACAGTTTTTAGATGCAAAATGCAGTTTGGTTCTTTAGTCAAATCCACTTAGAGGGTATATTGCAGTGAAACTGTGAAGGATACTTCACTACCAATGTATAAGCTTTGTTGAATTTGTATCATTTTCTTTCAGTAATGAAAAGCTATTCATTATACAGTATGGAAATAAAAATTGCTTCATTGACCATTCATTTTTACTTATTGGGAAATACTATATTTCCAGACATTTTCAAGTGTGCTGCATTTAAAAGAGGTAATAAAGCTTAAGCATAGAGTTGAACATTTTCAAATGGTATTCTAAATGGAGCATCGTAACTTACTCTTAACATAACATGATTATCGTTGTAAAACAAGATTGAAATATACCCATCAGGAAAAATATATCTTTCAAGCTTGAGAAACTCAACTTAAATTGTTTCATATTTTCTTTTCTTTTTTAACCAAAAACTCCACATTTTATAGTTGGAGACTTTTGTTTCTTTCTGGATGTCTGACTCACTATTTTGACAATAACTTTATTTCATCTATCATTCTTACCATGTCCTGTTCTTTTAGAATGATAACTATCTAAATTTAATTAATCTTATCATTGAGATATATTCTAGCCATTTTTTGTTTAGGCCATAGTTTTTTCTTTAAGGAAAAAAAATGACCTGAAATTAAGAAATAAAATATGCTTTTATATTATTTTTATTATTTTAATCCATCTTTGTAACACTGTGTATGTTTGCATTTTGGAACTACAAGGAAATTTTAAAGATCATCTTGAACAAGTTCCTTAACTTCTCAGTGCCTCATTTATCTTACTTATAAAATGGGACAATAAACTTTCTGCTTCTTAGGGTTGTTACAAGGTTTAATGAGATAATACATGTGAATGACTTAGCCAAGTGTCTAAAACAGAATAAAGACTTAGTAAATATCAATTGTTATTATTTTTACTATTATCTAATGTAGTCTTCCCATTTTCCAGTGAGGAAATGTAGACATGCTATACTGTAAGTTTGGATGTCTACCCATCATGCCTCCCTTTGGAACTGGCCCCCACCAACAGGAATGGTTCCTTGACACATGACAAAATTGGACCAATGCTGGTAAAGCTGAGAGGTTATTTAGCAGCATGGCTGGCAATGGAGGCTTCCAGTGATTTTTAGCAGGCATGTGGAAACGTTGTAAAAGCTAGTTGTGAAGAGAGAAGAATAAATTGGCCAGGGATAGAGCATTGGGCCTTGCATAGTAAAAAGAGTGGCTGCTCTGTTTCCTGATGATATTTTAGTTCCTGTATCTTTTTCTCATAAATCGAACTTTGTGTCCTTGGTTTGCACTGGCTATCCCTGAAAACTCAACAATTACTCACTTGTACTTATGCTGGTTTAAGCCAATATCTGTAACTTGCAACCAAACAGTATTGACTATGATATACTGGAGTAAGTATGCCCAATTGCATAAGACTAGCAACTGGAAAAACTGGTATTAGAATTCTTTGTAACATTATGGAGAGAGCATCTTCCTTGAGATAATACCACCTTGAGTTTGAATTCTGGTTCTTTCAGTTAGTAGCAGAGTGATGTATGCCTTTGAGGAATATTGATGGAATCATCATACTTTCAGGGTAGCCAGTTTTGTGACTAATGAATACTTTCAAAAGAGTTGCCTCAGTTCTCATGCCAGAGGATTGTCTTGAAATACCACTTAGAATTGATCTTTGTAGCTATTAGAAGGTATGGTGGGAATTAAGGTTAAGAATAAGAACGTTGAGCACACATCCACTTAGTATTACCAAGGATTGCTCACATCATACAAAACTCTATTTTAGTGGGTAGAGATGTGCTTGATGATATAAAGCATTAATGCCTACATTGTCTGCAGTCTCAGAACTGGAAGTTAGCTATATGTAACTATTAACAAGTGAATATCAACCAGTAAAATGAAAATATATTCACATAGGAAAAGCACAATGTTACAGAGTTATATATATTTACATCCACAACATACAAAATGTGAGAACCCCGTGAGCCTTCCCTTCATACTCTTTTGTTCACAAAAAGTGGATGTTCTCACAATATGATATTTAAATTTTAATTTGGGTTATATTTGTTTTTTTCAATTGCATTTGAAGCAACATCAGAATCTATGGCAATGCTAAGCTCTGGGCTTGAGCACTTTCCTAAGTTCCTTCACCTCTTACATGTCCTAATTTTCTCCAGGTGGTGGTTAAAAATTCCTTTTTGCTCTAGTATACCAGAATCCATGAGTCAAACATCCATATTAAATCACAACTTATAAATATTTTTCTCCTGATCATGTCTTGGGAAAAAAAGCAACAACAAAAGTCACGATGGAAGGGAAAGAGAGAACACAAGAAAGGACCAGGGTAATAGATCATCCGTCCCTCAACTTAGGAGATTGTTGATTCTATCTCACTTCTATCATGTGATGGGGTTTGTGAGACTCTTCTACTTTTCATACCTACATTTTATTTACAGCATTCTTCCTCTTACTTTAATAATAAAAAGTAGGTGATATTATTTGTCTTACTATATTTTAACAAATAACTAAGGCATCTAATACCTTAACGAAAAACAAAGCCAAATGAATTGTAGAAAATAGACTAAAATATTATATATGTGTATTTCTGGTATATGAAAGTTTATTTTTATGCATATTGTATTTCATAGATACAGGCTTACAGGCAGACAATTTACGTTAGAATCTCAACTCTGTCACTTACTGTAGGACCTTGGACAAGTTATTAAGCTTCTTTCTGTTTCCATGTCCTCATGTGTAAAATGAGAACAAAACACAGAGCCTGCCTTACAGGGCTGTGAAAATTACTTGAGCCTTTATACATGAAACACTTATAAATGTTCATAGCACAAAGTAAATATTCTTCGAAATTTGCTTTTTGATTTTTTTAAATGCATTTTATACACTTCCATGAATGAGTCCTCATTTGACCCTGAGAAGTATTGGTGCGTATTATCCTCACTTTACTGACCCAGGAGAATAACTGACACACCTTAGGTCAGAACCATGCTAGTAGCATCAGGGCTGGGATTCCAGCAGCGATAATCTCACCCCAATTGTCCTATTCTTTTGCACTTCACCTCAGTTGCCTCTACTTAAAGAAAGCTGCCAGAGTAATTTCACCCATCTTTCCTTGGAGTCCTGAGAAATTTGAGGAAAATAGACTATCGCATCATAAAGAAAGCAAAAAAAAGTTTTAATAATGGGGTAATGTTTGATTAGTGTTGGGATCTGAGAACTTTCCCCTGAGTTGAACTTCCCCACCCAATTTCAGGTCAACCCGGGTGGTACAGAGATGGTCTCAGTGAGTTGAATTTTTGGAAAATGGAAAAATGTGCATTTTGAGTAAATAAATTCTGAAAAAGGGAAAGTCAAAGTGAGGCTGAACTGTGTACTCTCAGTTCCCATTTCTTCTCATCGTCAATCAGATATGTCTCTCCCCTTAAAGAGAAAGGATAGGGACAAGAGCAGAAAATATTACTTCAACACCGTTTCCACCCAGAGAGTACAAAGGAATTCCTGTTCCTGTCTAAGGAGAATAGAGGTAGTATACTAATAAGAGCCTCCCCTTCATCTCCACAATGCCACTAAACAGGAAATTCTGGCCTTCCCTACACGCCAAAAGAACAACAGCACAGGTGACTTAAACTTTAAATCTTAACATGGCCCCACTAAAAATATGAACCAATGGTCAAACCACCAGCTTTTACCCTGTCATCGGTAGGATCATTGCTCCTTCTCCCATGGGGAAGAGCCATGAGAGGAGGAAGAAAAAAACAAGAAGTATCTCCCAGCACTGTTTTCTCTTAGCCAGTGGGGTGGAAGTTGAGCGCCCTTTAGAGGAAAATGAGAAATGGGGTAAAAGTGACTTGCCTAACATATCTTGTGATATGAACTGTCTCTTATCTTTTTAAAATTAAAATAAACATAAGTTATGAAACTTAAGCAAACACTATATACAGTAATCATTTTAGGTAGTTGGGATTTGTTTTATTTTCATTTTTTGGTATGAATTTCCCTGCCTTGTGTACCATGCCTATTTTCTCTAGGTCCATCAGAGGATGTGGAAAGAAAATCCATCTTTGGTTTGCTTCAAGTCCAAGGCCATAGTTGTCTGAGTATTTGAGATACCTCCCATAGAGAAAGAGAACTCTATTTTGCAAGACAGTTGGAGGCTACTCTGTTGATAATTAACAAGGTCAGAATACCTGAGAAGCATTATTTTTACCCTGCCTGCTCAATTTTAGTTGGTGGCAACTTGATTTGAGTTTATTCCTCATTTCTTTTTGTTTCATCAAAATACTGCCTTGAGGGCAATAAAAAAAATCCAATCCCAGAAAATGTTAAATCAGAGAGTAGCAGGTGTTTTCTTCCCCTTATTCCCTTGATCCCAGCCCTATACTCAGACACACACACCGCATACACACACACATACACACACATGTCCTAGAAAAAGTTAAATCAGCGGGTAGCAGGTGTTTCTTCCTCATGTTCCCTTCATTCCAACCTGCTCACAACTGGGAACTGGGGATGGGGGAAGGAGGGAGGAAGAAAGGGAAAGAAACCGAGAGAGAAATGCCTAGCTCTACTAGAACATCACAGAAGCAGGGAGAGAAATATGGTCATGATCCAACCCTTTGCTCAAAATATTATGCTGAACCTTTTCAGATTCAGCACATAGGCAAACTACCACCAAGTTGCAATGAAAACCAACCCCCACTTCATGGGGGCTCAGGCCAGATGTGAATGCAGCAGTCCAGAGGTGAGGCAATTATGTGCAAGAATCATGTGAAAGAGCATTCCCCAAAACGAACTCACTTAAGGAAAACATTTGGTGTTTACAGGACTTCAGCCCTGTTTTCTGGAGATTTTCCATCACTATAAACACTGACATATACACACATGAACATAAGTGGGTTTTTTAAAATGGGCCTAGAATATGTGATTTCACTAAATTATCTCATTTATTAGAAATGAAAAAATTAATGGTATAATATCAAAAATTTGGCAGCTGAAACAGTCACATAGACAAATACTGAATGGAAGCCAGTGCCCATAGGCTGGTGATAATACATGGAAGCTTGGAACTGTTAGTAATCTTCAGATGATTTTGTAATGCAGAGGTAGATGACCTGCCTAGCTAGGGAGTGTGTGTGTCAAAACCGGCCCCTTGGAGCTCTGCTTTCTGCTTCATTTGATTTGAAAGCCACCTTCTAACACATCCAAGGAATAGCAGCATATTATAAAGAGAGGCTTCAGGTGTGATAGGATAGGCTGAGAGCATTTCAAAGTCCCTTTGCTTCTAATGTCATCAGCAGTTCCCATTTCTTCTTTCACAGTGTAATGGGGTAGACTTTAAATTCTATCCCACTTGAACTAGTTACAGAACTGAGATCTATAATTTAACATTAGATGAATGAGATTTCTGTCTTGTAGCAAGCAGACTCCTCTGCAACATTTTTTTGAACTGCCTATGAGAAAATAACCTCAAGCTTTGAGAATAAGGAAGAAATCGTCTAAACATGAGTATATTGATTTAGATTAAAATGTCATATTTTACTTACATAAAAAATCTTAAAGAATCTTGGACTTTGTTAGTATTATTTCTTTTGCAGCTTTCTGGAATAAAATTCGAATTTGAGAGAAGGCTCAGTAGCCTCTAGAATGGTTGTCAGGCACATATAGATGATGGCCTACAAATCTGAATTGGTATACAAAGTAAAACTAAAGAAAGTTTTAAAAATGGAATGATTAAAGCTACTTATTGATCAAGTATTTTTTGAATTCTTTTGTTTACTGAATTTATGGAAAAATGACGAAGCCAAATCCTAGACTTTCATAATTGATGAAAAGTAATTATTTGGACTATAAAACCTCTTACTTAAAAAATAATGTTTGCTTTGAACCACTGGGAATTTGAAGAGTGTTACCATGACCATCATCAGAGACAAGAGGTCCCGAATAGTAATTTGTCTATTAATTGACATAAATAGCAGTGGCTGACAGTGGAAAGACTCTGAATAAAAGCAATTGTTCAGTAGTTTGAATGACAGGCAGACTGGAATTTCATTTTGGCCTAAGATTTAAAGGTCTAGCAAAAAATTAAACCACTCAGAAAAATTCCCTTAGTAGACGAAAGAGTTGGGAGAGTGTGAATCTGAGGCTGTGCTAAACCACAGCCACTAGCCATAGGTGGCTATTTAACTTTAAATTAATTAAAATTGAATAAAATTTTAAAATTCAGTTTCTCAGTCCAACTAATCACATTTTAAGTGCTCAATAGCCACGTGTGACTAATGGTTACCTTTACTGGATCAGCTAGATGTCAAACATTTCCATTACCACAGACAGTTCTCTTGGATGGCGTGGATCTACTAAGGGATAAATAGGAAACAGATAGATTTTGACCCTTCAGAAAAAAATGTTGCCTGTTGTGTTTCCCTCAACTGAATAAGAGACACTGTCAAATAGGGAGATACTTGGTCAGAAAAGCACTAAAGGACTCAGTGTCCTCATGGCTGACTAAAAATTGAAAAATAATTACAAATTTATAACTCATATTTCTTTGAGAGTATATACTAATCACTCCCTGACATATAAGTTCCCTCAGGTCATTTCTTCTGGTATTCAGTCCAGTATTTACTCAACTGAGATTTACATTACAGATATTAATTACCATTCAAACACAGCTGTGCTACTTATGCCAGCATTACACTATGAAGAAAGCTTTCCTAACACATCTTTCCTTTCATTCTAAACAACGTATTTTGATGACATTAAATCTGCCCACAGTTATTTCTAATTCAGTCATTCAGGTCCACTTTTGCAAGAAACTGATCTTTCGCTCTTTCTGAACATTTAGAATCTAGGTAGATATGCAGGTAGGTAGATGATAGATAGATAGATAGATGGATAGATAGATAGACAGATAGACAGATGATAGATGGAAGGATAGATAGATAGATAAGGTCAAACAGTATTAAACTATTTTAACCTTTTCATCAACTATTTCAATTTCTGTTTGACAATAACTCAGTTTAATAATTCTCCTATACAGGCAAATCACTTCACAAATCAAAATCATTTACAGCCATGTACAATGTCATAGAGAAACATCACAATTACTTTAAAGAGGTTTGATTTAAATTGTATCATATATTTATATATTCTAAAATGTAAAATTTTCCCCCAAATTTCTTATCAGTCTACCTTCCTTTGAGATAATAAATGTTCATAGCACAAAGTAAACATTCTTTGAGATAAGTAGATTGTTATTAAAATAAGTAATAAACATTTAAAGATGATTATGTCAGAAAGGTCACCATTTTCAAGGCTAACGTAGGAAGTTGTGGGTATAAACTGGACAAAAGCAGTCAGTTTTAGCCTCTCCAGCTACTTCTCTGTTTGATAAATGTTTGACTGGAAAAGCTTCAGTTTTAAAGGGGAAATATTTAGTCTCTATTGCTCACAGAATATACTTGCTTTCCGTATTCTGAAGAACTTGTGTTCCTCTAAAACAGTTAAAAAAAATTTTTTTTTAGCCTTTCAAGGTACAGAAGTTTCTGCCAACTGACCAGAAGTGCTAATGTCTCTGGCACTTACAATGGAACTCACAGATCATATGCATGAAATATATCTTAGTTATGTTTTTCAAAATGTGTAGGATGCTTTAGAATTTTCTTCTCAATATCTTATGTACAGAAAGAAATGGATAAAGAAAATGAGTACTGAATTATTCATTCTTGCTTCCAACCTAGTTTTAAGTAGAAACTTAATAACTGAAATAAGATGTTTGAAATGGAAACTGTGAGCAATAAGTAATCAAGAAGATGATACACAAAGTGTTAGAGTTGACAAGTGTTCAGAAATTCTATTTGAGAAACCAGTAAATAAGTAAATGAGAGACTTCTAAAGACGGGAGAGTAAAGAGTTCTAGCACTTGCTTTGAAATTCTTCCATGGCTCAGAATGAGTCATTACAATTTTTTTTCTCCACTCTCTCTCTCTCTCCATTGAATGCAGAAAGAGCATTTCTCTTTCTATTACCTCTTCCTCATGTGTGTTGTGTAGACAGACATGCCTGTGTGTATGCATGCACACACACACATGGTTACAGGAATTTTCTCTTCAAATATTCCCCCCTACACCTGACAAATCTACATTAAACTTTCTTCAGTCTCTCTGATGCACCTGCATTCTGATTTCCTGGCTAGGGAAGAGAGTGGAAACTTTTGGAAGCTATCAAATTCCTCTTACGTCAGCCAGGTAAATGAGTTACACATGGCTTTTAGTGTTCATGGGCGCTCCCTAATAACGTGATGAGGAACAAATGCAATCCACAGTCATGCATACAAACATACCAACATCGCATAATTTATTCCTGTGTTGTGAAGCTTGTGGTTGTGAAAATATTTTGTGCACCATAAAATACTATACAACTTTTAGTTACTGTTCGTTTCTACACATCATATCTATCAATTCACTCTAAATTCCCAATGATCCAAACTTAATAAATCTTCCTGGCTTTCTAATTGTAAATAAGAATGTTAATGATACTCTTTTATTTTATAGATGTTATGTAAATAATAGAAACAAAAATATGCAATTATGAGACCTTAAAACAACTTTAGACATGGATAACAATATTGATATCTTCCACTTATTGAGCAATAGATAATACTAACTTTTTCACAACATCTAGTTTAATCTTTACAGTAGCAGAAACTGAGACTTAGAAAAGCTAAGTAACTTTCAAGATCTAGCAGTTAATTAAAGTTATATTCAAACTCCGATCTTCTGAATCCAAAGCTAATAGCATAGCCACTATTAATAGTGCTAATGACTCATGATGATGGGCATGCATTATGTTATTCTGTGAGCTTATTATTCCTATTTTATAGATAAGAAAATGAGGCCTAAAGATAAGTGAATTTATAGGAAAAATTATAACGCTCTTCCCATTTATTTTTTGATTTATTTCATAATTATTTCATTATTACCATTTTTATTTATTTTTTTCCACAAACATTTATTAAGCGCTGTGTTCGGTATGCTCTCTGGGCTGTGAACACAAGCATAAACAAAACAATTTTGGTTCTTGCTCTCAAAGAACTGACAGCCCAGTACACACAACGTGATTCAACAAGCAACGTAGAGTGATACCACAGGATGTCAAGGAAGCCAGGTGGTGTCCCAGCCCCTTCAGAAATCCCCAGAACATCTTATGAAGGGCAGCAATCAGCAACCACTATTCTTCACGCAAGAGACAGCAGCGATGGTTGTTGCTGCCTTAGGCTGATCATAAGAGTACAATCATCCAGCCGCCAGAAAGTTGGGCTCACTGCTACGAACCACCTGGAAAGTGCTGGGGCCATTTCCTGGCATCTGAGCCTAATATTTCCATGGCATCTGGTCATGAATTCACTAAACATTTATTTAGTGTGTACAGTATGCTAGGCACCTGAGACATAAAGTCAAATAACATACCAAGAAAACACTGCTGTGCTTGCAAAGAACAGTAAAGCAACAAAGTACACTGTGGATACGTGCTCAGGGAATTCTCACATTCTCACAACCTATGTCCCCTAGAGAAGTCACGTAGACTCAGTGCTGATAATAAAGCACCAACTGCTGTAAACGTTGTACAATTTCAGAAAATCAAATGAAGAAACTTATAACTAGGATGACCATCCATCTCAAGTTGCCCACGCCAGCTTCAGATTACACTTTGCCTCGGCATAACCAAAGCACGCCTTTTCACTGTCACAAGTGATCTCATTTGTTTAATAAATTATTTGTTCACCCAACTTTTGACTAATGGAAGTTAATAACCACTTTGTTTTAATATACAGGAAATGGCTTAATTTTCATTTCTGGAACACTGTGTGCTAGGCACTATACTTGTGTCCCCTCATCTTCACAAGAAGTAAATGCAGTGGGATTATCTCTGCTCTGTAGATGAGGAAACTGAGGTTTTAGAGAGTTCAGTTTCTTGCCCAAGGATCACATAAACGCTAAATGGTAATGCTAGGATTCAGCTACAAGGCTGTCTGGCTCCTCCACTGTGGCAGCATATAGATTAAGTTTGACAACAACATTCAAGAGTAGAGAAGGGCATCCTTAAAGGGGCCGTGGATAATGTGCTACCTGCCCAGTGGGGAGACATCAGGACGTGAGCTCTAAGATAAGCAGTCATGACCATCATTGAGCTCACTGAAAGGCCTGCACAGTCATCAGTCATACCCACTTCCCCTAGGCTTAACTCTCACTGGCCATTTCTTCAGCTCTCACACGTTGATGCTGACGACAACACACACACCAGGCTCACAGGGGGCTGACTACTTGCAGAGGGTGATGTGTCCTGACCATGTAAGCGCTCTGTCATTATACTTCCTTCAGAGAGGGTCTTTACGTCTTTGCAAGTGTCCTTTCTACCTTCATCCATATGGAGGCTTAATATAGTGCCTAAGGGCCATGAAAAGAGAATTTTTCACCAGTGAAATGGAACTTTTATGGTCTGTGAAAAGATGCATCTCTTTCGTTAGTCCCTTTATTTACCTCTGCAGTACTATAAACTGAAGCAGGAAATTGTACTTTCAGATTAGGAAACACTGTGGAAGATGTAGTTAGGGATTTTCATGGGAATTTGCCCCAGTTGCTCAGGCTTTCTCATCCTCAGTAAAACTTGCTTAATTGGTTTGCTTAGTAATAAAAGTAATTTTTCATAATTGTAGATAATACAGACAAGAGAGAAAGGTATAAAAAGAAAATAAAAATTGCCTGTAATCTCAGCACTGAGTGATCACCATAATAATGTTTTAATTTATATTTTCTGGATGTTTTTCCATGCTAATTCACATGTACAAGTAGTTTGCTATTTTAATAAAACTGTGGCATATTATACATATTCTTTTATAAGCTATTTTCTCCATAACATATTATAAGTATTTTTATGTTATAAATGCAGATCTAAGAAGTTTCCTTTTATGGTGAAATGCTCTATCATGTGGCTCTTCCCCAATTATTTAACCACGCCCAAAGAGCAAGTTATTTAGGGTTGGTTGGTTGGTTTTTGTTTCTGTTGCTACTACACAAAATGCTAAAATGAAGATTATTACTCAGACAGTTCTGTGTAGTTGTTCATTCAGGTTTTTTTTTTTTTTTTTTTTAAGATATACCCCTAAAAATCAAATCTTTTACATTTTGACTCATCACCAGCCTTTTCTCCAGATGGAGTAGCAATATATACTCTCTTCATCAGTGTCTAAAACCCTGTTTACTCCATGGCCTCACCAATACTAGTGATCCTCAAACTTTTCAAATATGACTGCTTTAATCAGAATTTTTAATTGTATTGTTAGTTACAATTAAATTTATTCAATTGAATAAGTAATATTTAAAAATAATTTAACTAATTAAAATTTAATTTAAATTGTCTATTTGCTAGTATGCTTAGATGTATTTGTCACATATTTTTGGAAATCTGTATGTTCTTTTTTTGAGAAGGGCATGTTTATATCCATTTCCCATTTTGTCACTAAAACGTTTGAATTTTTTTATTCATTTGTAAGAGTTCCTTATACATTAACAATATAGAAGTTTTTTGTTTTTTGTTTTTTTTGAGACAGAGTCTGGCTCTGTCGCCCAGGCTGGAGTGCAGTGGCACAATCTCGGCCCACTGCAAGCTCTGCCTCCCACAATATAGAAGCTTTATCTGCTGTTCACGTTGCAAACCTCTTCCCCCAAGTGGTCATCTATCTTTTTATCGATTATGGGTTTCATTTTATTGACTATACATGCATATAGTATATATGCATACATTAATATATTTATATATTGTGTTTAAACATGTATACACAGACAGAGAACAGACAGAGAGACAATACTCACATTGATACAGACCAATATTCATGACACCTCCTCAGGCCTACCTCCTCCAGGTACTTATCTAACCCTCAGTATTCTATGTGTAACTCTCTTGTGGCCTTCTGGTATGAAATTTAGTACTTCCTATGATGTATTTTAGATATTTACATTAAAATTTTATCTTTTCTTTTGATCTTGACACCCTTTGAGCCCCACAAAGCGCCCAGCCTAGCACCTGGTTAGTATTAAATAAACGAATGGAGAAAAGCTTCGCATTTCACCCTGGGGTCTTAGATGTGAAAAAAACTGTCACACAGAGGTTGAGTCTCATGGATCTGCCCGAGCTCACAGAGCAGAGGCAATTTTCCCGACACTCCACTCAGTACACTTTCCACTATCTTCTCTTGTTTCAAATAACATTAATAATAAAATGCACCATACAGCAGACATCAGTGTGAGGCTGGCTTAAAATGAGCCAAAGCACTCCTTGCCTACAAAGGCCTCAGCCACAACAGACTCCTGCTTGGCAAAACGGGAGGTGTATCAAAGCATCTGATATAGAGAGGCTCAGAGGCTCTGTGTTTAGCCACTCCCAGATGCTTTGCCTGAAGCAGCAGCCACATGTAGAGAACAGTGTCAGTCTATTTACTTTGGTTTAAAGTCTTCAAGCCGCTAGATTTCAGTTCACTACTGTGACCACTAGAGGGAGCGCAGCTATTAGCCTGAAGAGACAAGACTGCTTGCTTATTGCATCCTAGCTACTGCGTGGAGCCAGTGACCCCTCCCAGGTTAACCAGAATGTGACCTTGCTACTGTGCAGAAATAGTTTTTAGGCAGCCCTCTCTTCCAGTGATTCCAGAGAAGGTTGAAGACCATAGAGTTTTGTCTTTCTCTTTACTGTGAACTAATTATCCATTAGTGAGGCTCTTCAGTGGAATTTTGAAGTTACATTTAGATGTTCACATAATCTCTCTCTCTTTCTCTCTCCTCCTCTTTATTGTTCTCTAAGAGAAAATAATCTGCACATCCCTGTTCTCAGCGTCATTTATTCCTGCCCAAAAAGAATTCTGAACGATTGCATTTGTCTGGTGACGGCTGTTGCTACACTGAAATAGGAAACATCAAGAAATAGCTTTACGGCCGGGCGCGGTGGCTCACGCCTGTAATCCCAGCACTTTGGGAGGCCGAGGCGGGCGGATCACGAGGTCAGGAGATCGAGACCATTCTGGCTAACACGGTGAAACCCCGTCTCTACTAAAAATACAAAAAATTAGCCGGGCGTGGTAGCGGGCGCCTGTAGTCCCAGCTACTCGGGAGGCTGAGGCAGGAGAATGGCGTGAACCCGGGAGGCGGAGCTTGCAGTGAGCCGAGATCGCGCCACTGCACTCCAGCCTGGGCGACAGAGCGAGACTCCGTCTCAAAAAAAAAAAAAAAAAAAAAAAAAAAGAAATAGCTTTACTCTTTAATCTAATATAAAGTATTAAATGCCAAATGGTTCTAGAATGGAGTTCCTTTTGATCTTATGTTCGATTAAAACTTTTTCAGGAAATAGATTCAGAGGTACCTTTTGTCACATTATTTGTTGTTCAGTCACAGAGGACATAGGAAATTTAGCATTTGTCATCTTTTTCTATGCTTTGAATACTTCTTGAATTTACACAGCTTGTAACAAACCCATCAAACCCTTTGAATCTAGAAATATTTGACTGAGGACAGGAATGTTTAGAACACTCTTTCTGCTTAAAAGCAATACAGATAAAGGAGAAAGAGACAGAGAGAGAGAGAGAGATTCCATCAATATCTAAGCACAGCTTCAAAATTCCACTGAAGAGCTTCACAAACAGATAATTCATTCACAGCAAAGAGAAAGACAAACCCATGCAAATTCATCAAGTATAAACGTGAGTGAGACGTGGCTGAAAGTAAGAGAGAACAGGGAATAGCATTTTATAATTTTAAAATTGCTGAGCACTCACTTTTTTAAATTGAATTCATTCCTTATCACTTGCACAAAAAAATGAATTGCCAAGCTTCACCAGGATGCTCACTGTCAGTCAAGTAACCCTAATTCTCATTTAGAAACAGAGAAAATATCTTGTAGATATATACTAATATGTCTAAATATTGTCTACTTTAAACAGCTCAAGTTTGTAACAAATGTTACAGGGCTCCCCTGAATCAATATTCACATTGGTTCATCAGTTCACTTGAGAATGATTGAGATATTTAAAACACAGGTTTGGGGAAATAACCCATCATTTAACCAATTATTTAACCAACCAAACTTATAGGGTCCCATAAGTGTGACCTACAAAACAGTAAGCTCACAGGTTAAATCACCTTGTATATTTTTGATACTTGTAAAATTATATAATGTTGCCTACCCCTATAGGTTTCATCTTGACATACACAGTTCAGGTAGGAAAATAGTCTAACGCTTTCTCTCTCCCTAATTCCCTGATAAACACTAAAATTCTCAGGCAAAATTGTATAAGGACAGGTTGGACCTTGCAGCTTGAAGTGAAAGTCAGAATGTTAGATAATGTTACTGGTCTCATTGAAAAATTTTATCAAACATCCCCTAAATTTGCTGTAAATTGAATATTTACATTAAAAACCAGAAAGTGAAGTTTTGTATATGTGTGCACAACTTGGTCTAATGTGCTCTTCTGCTTAACATGCTAATTTGAAAATTTTACGGCCTATGTTAGGTTCTAGCATTGATTTATTTTAAAAAAGAAAACAGTCAAATCCTACAAAGGGATTATTCGAGAAATCAACAAGTCAAAGCCATACTCTGAATTCTGTGGTCTTTGTATAAGAAAACAAATCTATTTATTTATAAGCATTTATAAGTAGCAGACAACCAAAAAAATTTCAAATTTAATTTAGTATGTAGATATTATAAGAGTAAAGCAGCATGCTGAAAAGATATATTGGGCAATAGAATCAGAAGATGGAGGCTACGATGAAGTTTGCTAACACTGGGTGAAGTTGTTTAACTCTTCTAGGTTCAGTTACCTCACCTAAAATTCATTCATTCATCCAAGAATATTTGTTAATTGCCCAAGATATGTGAAGCATTTTTCTACACACCAGGGAGACAGCACCCTGTCCTTATCAAAGTAATACTCTACTGGAGGGAGACAGAAAATAAGAAAAATGTGTAGATAAATATATAAAATGTACATTATATTATATTAGAGAGTCAAACATGCTATCAAAAAAGTAACAAGGAGAAGAAGGATAAAGAGTACTAGAGGGGTTGCAATTTTAAATAAGTCATCAAGAAAAAACACACTAAGACGGTTAGATTTGAGTCAAAACATAAAGAGAGGTAAATACATGCAGGTAAATACTTAAATTCCTGGAAGAGAAAGAAGTGCGTGCAAAGACCCTGGGTTGAGAGTATACCTGCCATGTTTGAGGAAGAGCAAGGGGGCCAATGTGATTGGAATGGAGTGAGTGAGAGAGAAAAGTAGGACATCAAGTCAGACAGGTAACAGAGATGGAAATGGAATGGGTTAGGCTATTGGTTATGAATTATTTTGGCTTTTCCTCTTGAGTGAGATGGGAAGTCATCACAGGATTTTGTAGAGAGAAGTGATATGATTGTCTGGCTTACATTTAATAGGATTTTCCTAGTAGTCTGATTTCTCAGAATGGCTTATATGGATATCTAATTTGTTTCCGTATATCCGGTTTTATTCTTTTCAATGTGGATATCCAGTTTTCTCAACATCATTTGTTGAGGAGACTATTCTTCCCCATTGTTCATGCTTGGTACCCTTGTCAAGCATGTCAGAAATCAGTTAATCTTTTACGTATGGTTTTATTTGTGGGCTCTTTGTTCTGTTCCATTGGTCAATATGTCTGTTTTATGTTAATATTGTACTGTTTTAATCATTGTAGCATTGTAATAGATCTTGAAATCAGAAAGTGTGATGCCTTTAGGTTTGCTTTTCTTTCTCAAGATTACTTTGGCTATTCAAGATCTTTTGTAGTTACATATAAATTTTAGAATTTTTTTTTCTATTTCTGCAAATAATGCCATTGGATTTTGATAGGGACTACATCGAATCTGTAGATTGTTTTGGCTAGTATGGACATTTTGACACTATTAAATCTTCTAATCCATTTACGTCGAATGCCTTTCTATTCATTTATATCTTCTTCCATTTCTTTCATCAATGTTTTATATTTTTTCAGTGTACAAATCTTTCATCTCATTGGTGAAATGTATTCCTAAATATTTTTATCTTTTCAATGCTTTTATAAATAAGATTGTTTTCTTAATTGCCTTTTCAGAGAGTTTGTTATTAGTGTATAAACACACAACTGATTTTTATATCTTGATTTTGTATATTACAATTATACTTACTTTTTAAATTACTTCTAACAGGTTTTTTGGTTTTTTGTTTTGTTTTGTTTGTTTTGTAGAGTCTTTAAGCTTTTCTATATGAGATCAAGTCATGTACAGAGACAATTTTACTTATTCCATTTCAATTTAGGTGCCTTTCATTTATTTTTCTTGCCTAAATGATCTGGCTAGTACTTCCAATACTATATTGAATAGAAGTGGTGAAGGTGAGACTCTTCATCTTTTTCCTAATCTTAGAGGAAAACTTTCAGTTTTTTAATCATCTGCTATAATGTGAGCTGTGAGTTTATCATATGTGACCTTTATTATGTAGAGGTAAATTCCTTTTACCTCTAGTTTTTTGAGTTTTTATACTGAAAGACTATTACGTTTTGTCAAACGCTTTTTCTGCATCATTAAAATGATCATGTGATTTTTATTCTTCATTCTGTTAATGTAATGTTTCACATTAATTGATTCACATGTCATGCCATCCTTGCACCCCAAAGATGAATCCCATGATGTGTGGTACATGATGTATTGTCCTAGTCATGCTGTATGGTCCTTTTAAAGTACTGTCGAATTTGATGTGCTAGTAGTCTGTTGAGGATTTTTGTTAATCAAGGACATTTGTGCCTGTAATTATCTTTTCTTGTGAGATTTTTGTGTGGCTTTGGTATCAGATGGACTCAAAATACGTTTGTAAATGTTCACTTTTCTTCAATCATTTTGGAGTAGTTGGAAAAGATTGGTGTTTGCTCTTCTTTAAATGTGTGGTAGAATCACCAGTGAAGACATGTGGTTCTGTGTTTTTCTTTGCTTGGAAGTTTTGATTGCTGATTCAATCTCCTTGCTTATTAGTCTGTTCATATTTTCTGTTTCTTCATGGTTCAGTCCCGGTAAGCTGTATGAGTCTAGGAATTTATCTGTTTCTTCTAGATTACCAGTTTGTTGGTGCATAATTGTTTATAGTAGTTTTTATGGACCTTTTTATTTCTGTGTCATGAATTGTAATGTCCACTTTTTTTATTTCTGATTTTGTTTATTTGAATCCTACAACTCAATAGGAAAAAAAAAACAATGAAAAGTGGGCAAGACTGGAATAGATATTTCTCTAAGGAAGATGTACAAATGGCTAACAGGTATATGAAAAGATGCTCAGCATCACTAATCATCAGAGAAATGCAAGTCAAAACCACAATGAGAAATCACCTCATACCTGTTAGGATGGCTATTATCAAAAAATAATAATAACCATTGTTGCTGAGGATGTGGAGAAATTTGAACCTTTGTATACTGTTGTTGGGAATGTAAAATGGTGCCATTGCTATGAAAAACAGTATAGAGTTTTCTAAAATAAAAATAAAAATAGAACTACTATATGATCCAGCAATCCCCCTTCCAGATATGTATCCAAAAGAATTAAAATCAGGATCTGAAAGAGATATCTCCATTTCCATGTTCCTTGCAGCATTATTCACAATAGCCAAGATAGGGAAACAACCTAAATTTCTATTGAGGAATGCATGGATGAAGAAAATGTGGTATGTACATATAATGGAAAATTATTCAGCCTTATAAAAGAAGAAAAGTTTGCTACATGTGACAACACTGATGAATCTGGAAGACAGTATGGTAAGTTAAATAAGACAGTCACAGATGGACAAAAACTGCATGGTTCCACTCATAGGAAGTATCTAAAATAGTCGAACTCAAAGAAACAGTAGAATGGTGGTTACATGGGCTGGGGCAAGGGGGAAATGAGTAGTTGTTATTCAACAAATATAAAGTCTCAGTTTTGCAAGATGAATACCTTCTAGAGATCTGCTGTGCAACAAGGTGCCTATAGTTAACATTGCTGTATTATGCACTTAACAACTTGAGAGGGTAGATCTCAGGTTAAGTGTTCTTACCACAAAAAAAAAAAAAGAAATATTGTTCATGACCAAAATTTTTATTGCATATGTTTTCAAAAATTTAGAGAAATATTGAGAAGGTAGGAAGCATGGAAAAGAATCTATTATTCCGCAACTCAGAGGTCAACATTTTTTTTTGTTATTTTCTTTTGGTCTTTTCTCTCTTTTTGTATGCAAATATATTTAACATTTGTAGCAACCATGAAGTTTAAATTTTGTTATATTCCCCTTAATATTAAACAATGATTCTTTTTATATGATATCCAATATTCCCCTGTAATATAAAAAGTGTACTGAACCAAGGCCAAGTCATTGATATGTAATATGAAATCACAACCATAACCAAGAAATTATTTGTGGTATTTGATTTCAGTTGCTCTATGGATTATTGTATGTACTATAGGTGCTCAAACATGTTTATTGAGTGAATGTTGAATTTCAATGTAAGAAAAAATTAAATAAAAATAGGCTAAAGGACAAAAAGAAAGAGCTAGTATTCCCAATTCTGTTAAACTTGAAAGGTAGCAGAAATTGAACTTTGAATGAAGAGAGATAAAAAGCTAAGTAAGTTCAAAACTCTCCCACTCTGATCACATTCCATCACCTAAAATCTTAACAGCACTGCTTGTACATAATATAGGTATTTTGACTGATACCCCAGTATGATGCATACTGGAGAATATTTTTGACCATAGCTATTACATATTATAGTTAGTGCATGAAATGCAAGGTCTTTTGTTTAAAGCAGTTTTGACTCCGAAAATATACCACACAAAAATGGGAATTTAAAACTCTTTTATTCCCCATAAATGGTCATAGTGATGGAAATGATGTTACCCATTCTGAGTAACAACAATAAATATCATGCACACAGTAGGTCCTTTAAAAATATTAGTTGAATAAGTCTTTGAAGTGTGCTAATTTATTTTCCAACCTGGGTCAAACTTCCACATCTATTATTAAGTTGCTGCAAAAGTAATTGCAGTTTTTGCCATTGAAAGTAATGACAAAAAACCGCAATTAGTTTTGCACCAACCCAATATGTGGTAATAATAATAACTACATAAAATGGAGGCAAAAATTTCAAGTGAGATAACATATATAAAGTACTTAGCACACTGTGTCACAGAAGTACTTAAAATGTGATTCTCCTTTCTTTTTATTTTACCTCATACAGTTGTAATCACCAATATCTGCAACTCTACTTGAAAAATAACTGAGACCACAGTCCGCAAACATTACTAGAAGAAAGGATATTTTACACACACATACACAGGCACACACCCACCCACATATATACATACATACATACTTGTGTACATTCAATTACCAACTTAGAACTTTGAAAACCCCAAGGATCATCCTTGCTTATTTCCTCTCTCTCCCTCACTCTCACATCCAATCTCGTCACCTCTCTCTCCAAACAGTTCCAGTCTACCCAGTATTCTTTGTCCATGACCCACTTGACACTCTAGTGTGAGCCAGTCCCCATCAGTTTTCCCCTGAATTAAGTAATTCAACTGCCTGCTTCCTTTATTCTTCAATCTATGTTTCATCCTAGCATAGCCACCAGAGTGATCATTCAAAACCGTAAAACAGATCCCTCCTCTGCTCCAAAAGAAAAAAAAAAAGATCAAATGTCTTCATATTTCATTTGGGATAAAACCAAACACTTTACTGTGGCCTATGAGACTCACAATCTGGGCCTGTCTACCTCTCTGAGCTCTCACAATTCTGGAAACTTACAGGACTGCTTTCTGTTTCTGAAACATGCCAAATTCGTTAATACCCCACACCTTTTGCATTTGATTTCTCTGCCTGGAACACTTTATCCTAGACTGTCTCAAGCCTGTTTCTTTTTCATCATTCAGGTTTCAGCTCAAATGTCACCGACTCAGGATGGCATTTCCTTACCACTTATTCAAAGCCGTTCTCACCTCTTCTCAGCAGCATTCTGTCCCATGATCCTGTTTAATTGTATTAATAGCATTTATCACAGTGATGAAAGTTTCTGCTTTATTTATTTTTGCAAAGGGGAAATAATTCTCTTTTTAAATTATGAATGTGATCTTGCCTTTGCTTACCAAAAATAAATCTTGGCTCTTTTCTGGAATCATCCACCTGCCGACAGGATTACTTCCAGTAGGATTGTGCTGAGAAAGTCCTAGGAAATATTTAGCTTTTAAAATTCAAAGGACAAGCTTTGGCCCTCAGAAAGGATTATCTAAATTCCTGTATCTCCTCCTTCAGCTTATATAGGATCAGGCTTTGTGGAAGAGACAAGAGTTTTATGTATGTAAGGGAAGTCCAGACATAACAGAAAGAGGAGAAAGCCTGCATTTTTCTGCCCTTGGGAAACTATGGAAAGAGAAAGGGAAAAAAATCCCCCCTTTCCTGTGTTTGTGGCTCCTCACAGTCTTCCCTGGGGTGGACTGTAGCATAGTAATATTGAGGGTGCAGCATAACTGGGCAGCAAGAGGCCCTGAGCTATAATTATCATGAATCCTTTTGGCTTCTACATTGTGAAAACAGAATCTATAACCCTGAATGTCCAGCTACGGAGCTGATCAGAGGGGATTCCCTTAGTAGTGAGCAGGTAGGTTTGTAGTGAATTCTCCAGAGCAAATCTTGCCTAGAATCGCAAGAGACCGTAGTCAAACCCTGAAGGACTCTAGTGCTAGCATAACCAATCGGAATCTGAGTCAATGAAGGAGGCTTTGGGCCCTGTCCCAGCCCGGAGAGACAAATGATGGGCTTCCCTAGCCATAGACTTTGACCATGAGTATCAGCCAAACAGCAACCAAGTAGATATCCTGCCTTAGAGCACTGACATTGGCCCCATCTTGGTAAGGAACATATTTAGAAGAGATGCTAAATGATAATCTGAGCATTTTTGTTTAAGAGAGACTGAAATTTTCATAAAGCAAAGATTCTCATACTTTGCTGTTTGTCAGATCCACCTGGGTTGTTAAGAAAGCTCAGAGAGAACCAGGCTCCTTAAAAGGTGTGGCCTGAGTCTTAATGCATGTATCAACTTCCACTCCAAAATCTGAGAACCACTGCCCTAGAGGGACTGCTTAAAGTATTTGATTAGATCAACTTTAAACCGAATGAGACTTTTCATTTCTCCTCCCTACCCGCTAACTAGTAGGTGAAAGTTACAAAGAGATGAGATAAGCTACAGACACTACTTTTAAATTTTTTATGCACAAGCTGTATGTTGAGTTAAATTTTGTAATACCTTCTGTTTTTAATTATTTACTGTTATTGTCATGCAATTAGAATATGTGTTTTATGATGAAAGTGTATATTGTTTATTGCTGAACACCAGTGCTGGAATTGTGCCTGGCACAGAGTAGTCACACAAATGTTAGTTGAGGGAATCTATCAGTCAAGTAATTAATTAATTAATATGTATCCATTCGGCACAGAGAATTTATTGTCAGGAGATACTCTGCCTGGTGGTGAGGGAAAAGGTGAGGGAACAAGGCACAGGAAGTCTGGTAGAAGTAGAACTAAACATTTTTTTGAAACAGCCAAAAATTTAACTGAAGAGCTTCTGCACAGCAAAATAAACTATCAAAAAAGTGAACAGCCTACACAATAGGAGAAGACATCTGGAAACTATGCAACTGACAAAGGTCTATAAATATCCAGAATCTATAAGGAACTTAAACAAATTAAGAAGTGAAAAACAAACAAACCTATTAAAAAATGGGTAGGCTGGTCACGGTGGTTCACACTTGTAATCCCTACACTTTGGGAGGCCAAGAAGGGTGGAACACTTGAGGTCAGGAGTTCGAGACCAGCCTGGCCAACATGGTGAAACCCCCATCTCTACTAAAAATATAAAAATAAGCCAGGCGTGGTGGCATATGCCTGTAGTCCCCTGTTTAAGTTCCTTATAGATTCTGGATATTTATAGACCTTTGTCAGTTGCATAGTTTCCAGATGTCTTCTCCTACTGTGTAAGCTGTTTACTTTTTTGATAGTTTATTTTGCCGTGCAGAAGCTCTCTAGTTAAATTTTTGGCTGTTTCAAAAAAATGTTCAGGAGGCTAAGGTAGGAGAATCATTTGAGCCTGGCAGGCCGAAGTTGCAGTGAGCTGAGATTGCATCACTGCCCTCCAGCCTGGGTGACAGAGTGAGACCCTATGTCCAGAAGAAAAAAGATTTTTTTTTTAATGGGCAAAGAACATGAACACACACTTCTCAAAAGAAGACATACAAACAGCCAAAAAGCATATGAAAAAATGCTCAACATCACTAATCATTAGAGAACTACAAATCAAAACCACAGTGTGATACCATCTCACACCAGCCAGAATAGCTATTATTAAAAAGGCAAAAAATAACATACAGGTGAAGTTGAGGAGAAAAGGGAACACTTATACACTGTTGGTGGGAACATAAATTAGTTCAGCCACTATGTAAAGCAGTTTAGAGATTTCTCAAAGAACTTAAAACAGAGTTACTATTTGATCCAGCAATCTCATTATGCGGTATATACCCAAAGGAATACAAATCACTCTACCATAAAGACACATGCAGGCATATGTTAATCACTGCATTGTTTACAACAGCAAAGACATGGAATCACCCTAAATTCCCAGCAATGATGGACTGGATAAAGGAAATGTGGTACCTATACATAATGGAATGCTATGTAGCCATAAGAAAGAGCGGGATCATGTCCATTCGTGTTTGCAGTAACATGGATGGAAACAAAGGCCATTATCCTGAGTAAATTAAGGTGGAAACAGAAAAATAAATACTGGAGAATTCCCACATGTTGTCGGAGGGACTCGGTGGGAGGCAATTGAATCATGGGGGCAGGTTTTTCCTATGCTGTTTTCAAGATAGTGAATAAGGCTCAGCAGATCTGATGTCTTTATAAGGTGGAGTTTCCCTGAACAAGCTTTCTCTTTTCCTGCTGCCATCCATATAAGATGTGACTTGCTCCTCCTTGTTTTCTACCACGATTGTGAGACCTCCCCAGCCACATGGAACTGTAAGTACATTAAATGCTTTTTTCCTGTATACATTACCCAGTCTTGGGTATGTCTTTAACAGCAGCATGAAAACAGACTAAATACATTAAATTGGTAACAGTAGAGTGTGGCACTGCTGAAAAGATACCCAAAAGTGACTTTGGAACTGGGTAACAGGCAGAGGTTGGAACAGTTTGGAGGGCTCAGAAGAAGACAGGAAAATGTGGGAAAGTATGGAACTTCCTAGAGACATGTTGAATGGCTTTGCCCAAAATGCTAACAGCAATATGGACAATAAAGTCCTGGCTGAGGTGGTTTCAGATGGACATGAGGAACTTGTTGGGAACTGGAGCAAAGGTGACTCTTGTTATGTTTTAGCAGAGACTGGCAGCATTTTGACCCTGCTCTAGAGATTTGTGGAACTTTGAACTAGAGAGAGATAATTTAGGGTATCTTGTGAAAAAAAATTTCAAAGCAGCAAAGCATTCAAGAGGAGATGTGGGTGCTGTTAAAGGCATTCAGTTTTAAAAGGGAAACAGAGCATAAAAGTTTGGAAAATTTGCAGCCTGACAAAGTGATAGAAAAGAAAATTCTATTTTCTGAGAAAAAAATTCAAGTGGCTGTAGAAATTTACATAAGTAACGAGGAACTGAATGTTAACCCCCAAGACAATGGGGAAAATGTCTCCAGGGCATGTCAGAGGTCTTCACGGCAGGCCCTCCCATCACAGGCCTGGAGGCCGAGGAAGAAAAGATGGTTTCATGGGCTTGGTGCAGGGTTCCCATGCTGTGTGCAGTCTAGGGACTTGGTGCCTTGCATCCTAGCCACTCCAGCAGTGACTAATAGGGGCCAAGGTACAGCCCAGGCCATGGCTTAAGAGGGTGCAAGGCTCAAGCCTTGGCAGCTTCCACATGGTGTTCAGCCTGCAAGTGCACAGAAGTCAAGAATTGAGGTTCGGGAACCTCCACCTAGATTTCTGAGGATATATAGGAACGCCTGGGTGTCCAGGCAGAAGTTTGCTGCAGGGGCGGGGCTCTCATGGAGAACCTCTGCTAGGGCAGTGCAGAAGGCAAACGTGGGGTCAGAGCCTCCACACAGAGTCCCTACTGGGGCACCACCTAGTGGAGCTATGAGAAGAGGGCCACCATCCTCCAGACCCCAGAATGGCAGATCCAAGATCCACTGACAGCTTGCACCATGTGTCTGGAAAAGCTGCAGACACTCAACACCAGCCCATGAAGACAGCTGGGAGGGAAGCTGTGCCCTGCAAAGCCACAGGGGTAGAGCTACTGAAGATCATGGGAACCCACCTCTTGCATCAGCGTGACTTGGATGTGAAACATAGAATCAAAGGAGATCATTTTGGAGCTTTAAGATTTGACTGCCCTGCTGGATTTCAGACTTCCATGGGGCCTATAGCCCCTTTGTTTTGGTTAATTTTCCCATTTGAAATGGCTATATTTACCCAATGCTTGTACCCCCATTGTATCTGGGAAGTAACTAATTTGCTTTTAATTTTACAAGCTCACAGGCAGAAGGGACTTGCCTTGTCTCAGATGAGACATTGGAGTGTGGATTATTGAGTTAATGCTGAAATAAGATTTTGGGGGACTGTTGGGAAGGCATGATTGGTTTTGAAATGTGAGGACATGAGACTTGGGAGGGGCCAGGGGTGGAATCATATGGTTTGGCTCTGTCCCCACCCAAATCTCATCTTGACTCCCACATGTGGTAAGGTCCTGGTGGGAGGCAGTTGAATCATGGGGGCAGGTCTTTTCCGTGATGTTCTCATGATAGTGAATAAGTCTCATGAGATCTGATGGCTTTATAAGGTGGAGTTTCCCTGCACAAGCTCTCTCTTTGCCTGCTGCCATCCATGTAAGACATGACTTACTCCTCCTTGCCTTCTGCCATGATTGTGAGGCCTCCCCAGCCACGTGGAACTATAGGTCCATTAAATGCTTTTTCCTGTTTAAATTACCCAGTCTTGGGTATGTCTTTGTCAGCAGCATGAAAAAGGACTAATACAGAGCACCACCAGGAAGTCTGTAAAAGTTTAACTCAAAGATTCAAGTGAATAAAGGTGCTGAAAGCTGTTGAGGCCTGAGAAAGGCTATGCCAGTCTGCTGCCAATAAAACTGATGTGATGTAGTAAAATTTATAAACGTTCAACAGTCCCCCCTTTTTTAAAAATAATCTTTCTGATATCTAGCCTACATTTGATTCAAATTTCTTTTTCTAAATGAAGTTTTTTCTTATTATAAAATATAATTTCAATGTATAGAACAAAGAAAATATAGATAAAAGAAAAAGTATACATGATTATACCACCTGGAGATCGTTACTGTTAACACAGTTATATAATAAATATAAGCATTTTTTAGAACTATAATTTTATCCTGCTGTGTCCTCAACACCTAGAACAATGCCTGGAACATAAGTGCTCAAATTCATAATTGTTGAGTGAATCAGTTAAGACATGTATGTAATAATTTTCTTTGCATTCACCACCCATTTGAATAAGAGGTCTCCCTTACTCTCATTAATCCTTATGAGCCCTCAAAGAGAAAAGGCACACTTTAATATTTTGACTATCTTTCCCAAAAGCAAAACCGAGCACAAGACCTTAAGAGAGGCTGACTAAGCCCAGGTGCAGTGGCTCATGCCTGTAGTCCCAACACTTTGGGAGGCCAAGGTGGGTGCATTGCTTGAGCCTAGGAGTTCAAGACCAGCCTGAACAACATGGTGAAACTCAATCTCTACAAAAAATACAAAATAAAATTGTGTTTTGGGTTTTTGTTGTTGTTGTTTTGGTTTGGTTTTTTTTTTGGTCGTGGTGCGCACTTGTAGTCCCAGCTACGAGGGAGGCTGAGGTGGGAGGATTGCTTGAGCCGGGGAGGTCAAGGCTGCAGTGAGCTGTGATTGTGCCACCGCACTCCAGCCTGGAACACAGAGCAAGACCCTGCATCAAAGGAAAAGAGGCTGCACAAACAGAATTCAGAAGCGCGTAGAGCTTTTGCATGTTATGATCCACTTAGCAATCTGAGGATCCTCCTGAATTTTAAGCAGCAGGATTGGGTGGTTGGCTCATATCAGCTTGTGTTCCAGTGTGACTCCTAGCTTGCTTTCATCTGCCTGAAGAGTAAGCCCCATTTGTTCTATTATCACATCATCTTCTGCTTCTTCCCCCAAAATGCATGTCTATTTGTGTTTCCCTTACTGAGGAAGTTTATACTTATCAAAACAAATTTCATGTTACTTTTCATTGTACCACTTTTAATTTAGCAACCAACAATTAAATAAACAAAAATATCCTGGTTTTATGTCTTTCAGAATTGAAAATGCTCCAGCTCTAATTCAGTTTATAGCTTGCTTGTAAATCACTTGAGACAAATTGTTATCACTGATTTTGATTGAGTCACGTGTCCCATGCCCTAAATATATTTCAAAGATTATTGGGTAGAAAGAGGTAAAGCAAATCTCATTACTAAATCAAACTGAATAAATTACATAATAATAATAATACATAATATGTTTTACTAGTTTTAAAACTGAGTGACTTTGTACTGTGTCAATTTAGCTAAGCCAGAAATATGTTTCCCAGAATTCCCTTTTCAGTATGGTTCTGAGTTAGGCCTTTTCACAAGAGAAATTTACATAAGATCTGAAAGGCAGACATGAGAAGCAGCTATATTTGCACTCCAGGGGACAGTATAAGTCCAAGTACTGCTGCAGCTCATACACATTGTCTCATCTGTTGACTCACCTTGTTGGTACAGAGCACAGCCAGGCCTATGGTCTTTCCAGTTCCAGCTAGACTGTTCCTTCAGCATCTTCAAATCCTAAAGCAGGAATATTTTAAAGGTATCAGCTTATCCTGTAGGTCACCTAAATGACCAAGGCTGGCAACCAGGAAAGACAGATGCAAGTTCCAGTTTGTCCTCATGTGTTCCAGTTTGTCACTACAAATTTGTTTTTTCCTCAAGGATTCAACTTTTTTCTCTTCTGTCCATTTTATCCTTCTTCCTCCATTTTATGTCAATCTTCCCTTCCCAAATTAGTAGTTTAAAACAATGCACAATTATTATCTCACACATTCTGTGGACCAGGAACTCCAGAATCATTTGTCTGAGTCCTCTGGTGCATGGGCTGTCACTAGGCTGCAAAATATTGGCTGGGGCAGCAGTTCCATCTAAAGGCTCAACTCAGTGGAGGATCTGCTCTAAGTTCAGGCATGTGATTGTTGACTGGAGTTGGCTCATCATAGGTTGCTGGACTGAGGGCCTCATTTGCTCACTGACTGTTAGCCAGAGCCTCCCTCAGTTATTTGCCACGTTTACTCAAATTGCAGCAGCTGGCTTCCATCAGAGCAAGCAAATGAGAGGGAGAGAGGCTCAGGAGAATATACGCGGAGTCCCCTTGTAACCCAATCTCAGAAGTGACATCCCTTCACTTTGTTTATATTCTGTTTGTTAGAAGGAAGTCACTAGGTTCAGCCAGTACTGGAGAGGAGGGGATTATAAAAGGCCATGACTACCACAAGCAGGGATTGCTGGAAGCTATCTTTGAAGGTGCCCACCACACCCCTTCAAACAATCCTCTGAGGCATCTTGCATGTGTTGTACAGAACTTCTCTCATAAAAAGTAAAACTTCTAAGAATCTTAAGTGCATTTTCTCAGAGCATCTTTAGAGGAAAGATTTGTGACTGGCTATTGTCTAGTGGACTGGATTATGAATTCGTATTTGAAAAATCATGAAGTTTTTAAAAGAAATGTATCAGCTTGAAATAAAGAGGCAGAAACAAGCTGAAAAGAGGCATTTCTACCATCAAATTTTCACCGGCATCAAAGTGGCTAAGATGCCTACTCAGTTGAAAAATCAGCTATATCTTATGGAAGAGGAAGGATGGCTCAGAAGGCAGAACCAAGATTCTAAATGGTGCCACCATGAGCTATGAAGAATGACTCACAGGGAGTAGGAGTGAGTCCTAAGCCAAGAAAAGCTCACGTGTCTGGCCAAATTTCAGGATTACCATAGACTAGTTATTACTTTGTGCCTTCCATTCTCTCCTCCTAATCCAAGTATCTGGTGTGGTCGGCCTTTGCTTTTTACCTCTCAATGTGTGACTGTCCAGGCAGATTACTTATTTACTTATTTCACAGGATTTTAGACTTAAAATAATGTATGGAAGGAATTATACCTGAAGAGTGTCTTCTACACTTAAATTGGATTTAGATGACATGACCCAGGACCATGAGCCAGAGCCTGATAATATTTTTAGGGAGGCTCTTGGGAAGGAATAAATTTGTTTTTCATATGGGAGTAATATAAGTAATGTGTGGCCAGAAAGTGAATTGCGGCAGTTTTAAAATTTGTCCACAAATTCTTTAAAATTCTCTTCATTAGGAAGTTAAGTCTATGTTCTCTCCCCTCAAATCTGGGTGGGCTTTTGTTTCCACCAGCAGAGTGTGGGAGAAGTGATGTTATTTGACTTCCAAAGCTAATTCATAAAGGATAGTATAGCTTCTGCTTTGTTAGCTAGAATAATCACTGTAGGAGCCCCGTGCTGCCACAAGAGAAGTCTGACTAGTTTAAGGATGCCATTATGTGAGGAATCCAAGCTATGGAAAAGGTATGTGTAGGCAACCTGGTCCTAAGTCCTGTCTTTGAGAAGTCCCAGCCAGGTAGCAGATATGTGAGTGAACAAGGCTTCAGGTAATTCTAGCTCCTAGCCACTGAGTCACCGTTAATCTTTGAGTCTTTCCACCTGGTTCCCCAGATATTGTGGTGCAGAGACAAGACATCCTTGTCATGTGTTGTCTGAATTCCTGACCCACGAAATCTAGGAGAGTAACAAAATGGTTGTTCTAAGCAACTAAGTTTTGGGGTAATTTGTTAACAGTTATAACAACTGGGACTAAGCCATGCAAAACCATCAGAGCTAAATTGTGAATAAAATGTATATTTAAATTTGGGTGATGGATACACTGAAAACCAAATCACCACCATTATGCAATATACCCAAGTAACAAACATGCATGTGTGCCCTGAATGTAGAATTTTTAAACATGAGAAAGATATAAAATAGTAATAATAATAATAATAATAATCATCATCATCATCATCATCATCATATTGGAACCCTCAGGTAATTTAAAAATAAAATAAAATGAGCATCTCTTTGTAAAAAAAATGCATATTTAAGGCCAATAAATAAAAAAATTTTGAATAAAGTCAACTATCTGTGTATTTATAATTATTTTAGTATCTTGTGTGAATGACTTAATAGATATAAATACTCCTAGTACAATGCCTAGCAATAAAGAACAAGGATTTGTTATTGTGCCCAAAGAAATATAGATATATACTTATTTTCAAATGTTTATTACGAATGACCTACTAGTAATAATATTCTGGCGCAAGATTTCAAAGCTTTAAATGTATATCTCCAAGTTCCAGAAGAGTAAAGCTGAGGTTTAATGTTCAAGGTTACACAAATCTGGGCAGAGCTGGAATTCAAGCCCAGGTTTTTTTTTTTTCTTGTTCTTCTCTAAATCTCTTACTTTTCACTACTACACTGTCTTTTCTTCAGATGTGTTTATATTTAAAGAAGGCATTAAGAACCTATAATTATGAAAAGTTGGTCCCACTTGGAAGAAGCTCAAGGATGAAAAATTAAGTTTACATCCTAACTAGAGAGATTGGGAATGATTTAATGATTAGGAAAATGATAGGTATGCATATATGAGGGTAATTTTCCATATTTCCCTGTATGTGTGTATCTTTAATTCATAAAAATTAAAATTTAGGTTAACTTAACGAAGCACTTCACTTTAGTGAAGGTTAACCCTTCATCTCATACACCGAAGTTTTTGGTCAATCATTTTTACTTCATGATTTAAAAGAAAAAAAAGACAGATACTGGATTTGATAAGTACAATTCTGCATACAGATACCAATGATACATAAGATTCAGGACTAAATGGTTATTAAGGCCCCTTTAATTTTAATAGAGACAGTAACAGTAGCTCCCGTCTATGCAGCAATGGTTATTTCACAGATACCGGGCAAAAGACTCTCTACATAACTTAATCCCTGAAACAAACCTCTAAGTAAATATTACTTTACTCTGCCTTTTTCTATGAATGAGAAAGCTAGTACTCAAAAAAGCTAAATCACTTTCCCAGAGTCACTCAGTTAGGAAATGGTGGAGTTGGGATTATTCAATGGTTCAGTCTCTCATTTCTTCATCTTTTAAAGTACTCTAAGGAAACAATAAAAAATCACATGGGAGGATAACACATTGACATGGTCAATCACAGGAAAAATAAACCTGTAGTACTCTAACTTGGTTATTTCTATATATGTAGGGTTTTAAAAATTACAACTATTGATCTGCTTTGAGAATATCATTCCTATTATAACTGTATAGTTCTAATATCCACCCAATACATAAATTTTCTATCTTTATAGGTTGGAAATTTAAAAATATATACATGGAAAAACATACAGTACAAACCAACCAAATTCAAATAAAAATCTTTAAAAACTCTTAGAAATTCTTTAAGCAGGTTATGTCAATCCTATTAAAAATGATTATTCTATGTACAATACATAATCTTTAAAAATACAGCTCCAGGAAACAAAAACTCTTTGGTTCAGCAAAAGGATTATAAATGTGGAAATCTAATTTGTTAAGGATGCACCTTTCTGGATTGGGCTTCACTTATCTAGCTTAACTCATTAAGGAAGCATATAGCTGGCTTTTTTCTGGATGATGAAATTATGAGTGGGGACTGGGTAGAGGTTCCTTTTGACATAGAACATTAACATATGAAAATATAACCAGAAGCTTGAATAATCCCGGAACTTATACAGTATTTTTACTCTGCTAGATTTAAAAAATACAGAAAAGTCTCTGCTTCTCATTCATTTTGGAAGGAGGGTAAGGGAATGATCATGGTCAATACATACAACCATTCACCAGTGAAGTTCTTAGGTACTAGGTCCCATGCTATTGAAACTATCCTACTTATTATTTGGGAGAGTGCAAGGAAGGGATAGGAGGGATGCTGTTGTCCCTTTTACTTCTGAAATCCTATCACTTTTCTGGTGGCTTGCCTGTCTTAACAATCTAAATTTATAAACACATCCATGACTCAGATGTCTTTAAAAAGCGCTATTAACTCAGCAGTGACTACAGTGCATCAACATTTGTCAATGGGATTTATATTAAAAATTAACGATGATTCTATACAATTTTGGTTTATTAATAGCAACTATCACAGAATTTTTCAAAATACCTCAGATTTTCAAAGAGTCAGCAGTCTTACCTACTAGAATATATTTTCCTTTCTATTTACTGGGAGGCAAAAGCCTTCGCAATTTTGTTCCAGCACGTTTTCTACTCTGGTTGTGAAAATATTTTAGCATCATTTAACCACACATTGTAACTATCTTTAACAAGGACTTTCGAAAAGTCTCTAAGGTATCACTGATCATAAAGGAGAGAAAATATTTCTTGCTTTACTTTTTTTTCTAAGTTCCCCAATAGAAAATAATTACCTGACTGGATTGATTGATTCAGTTACTTTAGGAAATGGTGCCACTGACTATTGCTCAATCTTGCCTCTCCCTGGACTCATGTCAGAGGCGTATTAATATATTTTCAGGTTAAAAGCAGGTGAAAGTCAGGAGGTTCTGTTGGCTACCATGGTTTCTGCAAACCACCATTTTAAGATACCACCATGCTTATATGAAGTTGCTGAGAGCTGGGGAGCTCTCCAAAATTCACCATTGTTTTTCCTTCTATTTGTATGACTTAGTTATTCAAGGGCAAGACCCTTTTTAAACGTTAGTAGTACTCAAACGAGAAGGATATGATTGGAATGGAACAATAGATTGCAGAAAAAACTGCCACTTTAACAAAAATGGCTCTGATTGTGGAAAGGAAAATGGGGTAGCCTCTAGCAGTTGAGAAAAGCAAATAATGTAATACATCAATAATTCACAGCATCTAAATAAGACACTATAACTCAGAACCATATCCACACCATTCTCCTCTTCCCATTGTGCAGGAATTTCTTTTCCCTAATGGTCTTCCAAAGATATTATAATACTCTGAAAAGAAAATAATGTGTTGGATTATTGATCCTTGAGGTCCTCTTCTGTAGAGTACAGGCAGTAATCAACTTTTCTTCTGTCAGAAGTCTTTATCCCAGCCTGATAGCTCATCTGGAGGCATTCCCTTTTCAGGAGGATATTTGTCAAAGTAGCTGTGATCTATGGGTCCCTTGAGCTAATATAGAAATAATTAAAACAAAAGGAAGAATAATGTTGACCAAGCATGCTATCACATATGGGTAATGTTTTTTATTTCAGAACACTGATTTCATACTGCAGCCACTTGGAAGTTACATACAAGAAAAAAATGACCAATTATCATTCTTGAGTCCTAGTCTCAGCCTCATGAGATCTTCTCTTTACAACCAAATAGATTTGGTCACCAGATAACATTCAATAGTAACTACCTGGCATGAAGAGTTTTCCTAAAGAAAAAGTTCAGAAATAGGCCAGGCGCTGTGGCTCACGCCTGTAATCCCAGCACTTTGGGAGGCCAAGACAAGCAGATCACCTGAAGTCAGGAGTTCGAGACCAGCCTGGCCAATGTGGTGAAACTCCATCTCTATTAAAAATACAAAAATTAGTTTGGCATGGTGGCACACACCTGTGATCCCATCTACTTTGGAGGCTGAGGCAGGAGAATCACTTGAACCTGAGAGGTGAAGGTTGCAGTGAGCTGAGATCACACCACTGCACTCCAGCCTGGGTAACAGAGTGAGACTTTCTCTCAAAAAAAAAAAATAAGTGACAGAAATGATGTCTATTTATTTTTTTAATTGAAAACTCTTTTAAAATCAAAATCTGCTAGCGTTCTTCTTCCATTATATAAGTTTCTCACCAATCCTGAAATTTTTATGGTTAATTGATCCATATAAAGTATTCAGAATGCCAAAAAAGGAACAATTCAAAATATTAGTGACCCTGTTGAGAGAGTGAAATTATGCTGGTATTAAATTATTTCACAAATAAAATGATTTCTAACTCTGCTTTCAAACAAATGTAAGTAATGCCTAACTGAATGATCAGCTGAAAAATCATTAAAAATATTATTTATGATAGATCATAATGTGGTGGAGGAACAGAGCTAGAGATCATTCAGAAGGAGCTCAAAGTGACATCGCTGTAATAAAACCTTCCATTCCCACTTATATATGTGAGAACACAATTCTTAGAATTTGTATCTGCATAACAATCATTTTAAAAAGGAATAGAATTGATGCTGAATCTGATCCCATTCTTCTAATAAATAATATCTATCCATAGATACATGAAATAATTTCTTCTCAAAAAATGTTTATTTAATAATTACCATTAGATATTCATAATATATTTATGCCATTTGACACTGCATGCCATAAAAATGTAATTATAACAGAATTCAGAAGAAATACTGGTGTTATCACAAATTTTAAATCTAAAATTCGAAGGCATTTAAAGAATGATCAAGAAAGATTGTCAAGCATAGAAGCATTTTACATTAGGATGAAATCTTATAGGGAACATAGAATGAAAATATGATGATATGATGAAAAGGAGTGATACAATATTTCTGCCCAAACTTTATAAGTGGCAGATAGGTATTAAATCTCAATGGTATTTAGATTATAGTAGACATGTTTAAAGGAATGAAGTAACAGTAGTGTTTTTATTATTATTATTATTATTATTTTTTGAGACGGAGTCTTGCTCTGTCATCCAGGCTGGAGTGCAGTGGCGTGATCTCGGCTCACTGCAAGCTCCACCTCCTGAGTTCACGCCATTCTCCTGCCTCAGCCTCCTGAGTAGCTGGGATGACAGGTGCCCGCCACCATGCCCGGCTAATTTTTTTTTATTTTTAGTAGAGACAGGGTTTCACCATGTTAGCCAGGATGGTCTCGATCTCCTGACCTCGTGATCCGCCCGCCTCGGCCTCCTAAAGTGCTAGGATTACAGGCGTGAGCCACCATGCCTGGCCTAGTGTTTTATTTTAAAATGTCAATATTTACAACATACTGGAAATCATATTCTCCACAACTACACTTTGATGAAAAAAAGTCAGATAGCAATCTACCAATGTATAAGAGGAAATATAGATCTTTGCAATCTTTTGGAAAAAACACTAACATAAACTTAGTAGTATGTTGACCTAGATCATTCCTGAGTCATTCTTCCTCCCATGTTAGCTGAAGTTCTGCTGCCTCTAGAGCTGCACTATCCAATAACAAAACCATTAGCAACACGAAGTGACTGAGCACTTGAAATGTCGCTCTTCTGAACTGAGATGTGCTGTAACAGTAAAATTCACTTGGGATTTAGAAAATTTATTATGGAAAAATAAACATAACCTATCTCACTAATATTTTATATTGATTACATATTGAAATAATATTTTGGAGGTATTATGATAATTAAAATTATTTTCACCTTTTTTTTCACCTTTTTAAAATGGCTATTAGAAAATCTTAAGTTACATACATTGTTCACATCAAATTTATACAGTCATTTGTCAGCCTGAACAACACTGACTACTTTGGGACTTAAGTGGCACTGACATGTATTTGGTTCTTGACAGGTAAGTTAATATCCATCAGCTAGGCAGTACTATTTAGTCCCTATAATCACAATTATAAGACAAACTCACTTAAATTAAAATAAAAACTGCTTTAAAAAAAAACACCCAAAATCTGTTATGGGCATATACATACACACATCTAAAATCTGTGTACAAAAACAAATCCCTGGGAAAAAAATAAAAAAGTAATATAATAAATACAATACCTCTCTTTGCAAAGGTGATGGAAGGCTCCGTGCTTTCAGTCCCTCCCAATTAAAACCATTTAACCACCTGAGAAATGAGAAAGGAAGGAAGGAAGGAAGGAAGGAAGGAAGGAAGGAAGGAAGGAAGGGAGAAAGAAAGAGACGACAAAAAGGAATATTACTTGGATGATAAACTATTAGCATGTCAAGTTATCTGTCATGGCTTTAAATAGCACTTATATGCTAATTATTCCCAAATTTCTATTTCCAACCAAGACCCCTCCATCAGCTTACAGGCTAAGGTCTACAATTCTTATTCATCTTCTCACTATTAGATGTCTAATAGGCATCTGGCATGTATCATGTCTGAACAGAAGCTTAAAATGTTCTCCACCAACCTCATCTCAATTCTTCCAGTTGCTCAAACCAAAGCTCTTGTAGTTGTTCTTTGCCTTATATCCTATCTGAGTCCATGATCAAATCCTGTCAGTGCTAGCTTCACATTCTATCTATATTCAGTATCTGGCCAGTCTTCAATACCTTCACTCTACTAGCAAGGAACCAGCCGTACTTTTGTGCTGGAGATAACTTAGCAGCAAGACTGGTCGTTTATAGCATAAGTCAGGTCACAACATGCCTCGGTTCAATACTTCCCCACCTTTTCCATCTTACTCAGTGTAAAAGGCAAAGTCTGTTCCATGTCTTTGCTGTAACCTATAAGGCTTTATAGAATCATTGTTTCTACCACCATCCTTCCATTACCTTACCACTGTATTACTTTTCTCTTTCTTTCTCCCTTAACTCATTTATCTTCTCACTATTCTCCTAACCAACTAGGGTTGTTCCCACTTTAAGGCCTTTGTACTCAAGGCTGGATTGTTCTTTCTCTAGATTTCCATGTCTTATTCTCTCAACACCTTCATGTCTTTTCTCAAAGTTCATCTCAGTGAGATCTTCCTTGGCCATCCAATCTAAAATTGAAACTCTCCCCCACCAACACACACACACACACACACACACACACACACACACACACACACAAGCTTCTTATCCTCCTTCCCTACTTTATCTTACCCCCTTAGCATCTATAGCTATCTAACATACTACTTGACTTAGTTATCATGTTTACTTTCTATCTCCCCACTAGAAAGCAAGCTCCATGAGGGCAGAGATTTTTATCTATTTCCTTTTCTCTGTGCCCCAGCACTTGGAGTAGTGCTTGATATGGGACAGGGGCTCAATAAATTTTTGTTGAGTGATTGAATGACTCTGCAAAGAAACACACTTAAGCAGAAAAAGTATTTTACAGTAATCTGTGAAAATATGGGATTAAGAGGAAGTTCTTTCATCATTGCTTATGCATCACTCATCTAAAAGGGCTGATCTGATCTTCATATATTTCAAGTATATATTTCAAGCTTGATGGTCTAGAAATATAACACCAGGAGTCAGGAGGCCTCATTTCTCTTGAATAGAAACAATCTACTCTGTCTCTCAGGATCTTATAATAAGAACATGAAATCATGCTGTTCTATAGCCACTGATCTTTTCTACTGGCACACTGAGGTCAGCTCAGCCAGCCAACCGATATTTATGGAAAGTCAGCTTGGTCTCAGGCATCAAAAAATGGCCCTGATAGACTTGCTTGATGCAGGGTTATCACAAACCTTCAATTTGTAAAAGATAAAATATCTGCAAGGTGCAGTAAGTAAAGCAAAGTGCGATCAAATAAGGTATGCCTGTAACTGAAACAAATGTTTCCTCTTCCTGTCAGGAAAGATTTAGTTGTACCCTACAAGTATATCAGCCTTCTTTTAAGGTAGGTGTTGGGAGACATGACTGGTGCCTAGTTTTAAATTAGCTCTTACATACAAGATACCAGAGCTCTGTAGCTATTTTTGGGAAAGATTATTTAATATAGAATGGACAGATACATACAACTGTATTGTTTTTAAATACAAAATTAAAGTGACTAGTTCTCTAAGAAAAAAAAAAGTTTTACTTTAGAAGGGACTAAGAAAATCTGATGCCAAACTTTAGAAGAAATTTGTTTGTTTGTTTGTTTGTTTTTTAATTCTAAGAATATACTGAGTAGAGAAGCTACACAGCTTAAAGACTTGTGGAAGGTTTTAAGATGTTTTTGTTTTGCTGGGAGGTGACAGAAAAAAGTCAAGTAAACAATATAAATTATTAAATTAATTTCAGACAGTAGTAAGTACAAGGAAGATAAAAGAGAATAAAGTGGTAGATGATGTCGGGAATAGGAACAGGTTGGGAAGGGCTGCTTATAGCTAGGGAAGTATTTGAAAAAGTGATATTTGAAAGAGCCAGAATGAAGAGAAGGGGGAACCATGGGAGGATCTGTGGCAAAGCCCTTCCAGATGGAAGGAATGAGCTGAAGTGTAGTGAATGCAGAGGAAACTAGAAAAAAAAAATGATGTCTGAGAAAGAGCCAGAGGCTAGATCACGTACAGCTTTGCAGGCACAGTAAGGAATCAAGATTTCTACGTGTAGTGAAAGAATCAGAAAGCTCTAAGTAAATGACACCAGCTACTTTTCAAAAGATACTTCTGGCTGCTTTAGAGATAAAGAAAGACCACAGGGGCCAGAATGGGATGGTGATGCGTCCCTGTGATTAAAGGCAGGGAGACTTTCAGAAGGCTGTCACATTGCTCTGTCTGTTGGCCATACCAGAAGTTAGGATCTTCCACCTTTCTCACTCTCTTCTCATCCCCAGACTTGGGTTTGGTTTAGTGCTTGACTGGATTTCCTATTACAAGTCTAAGCTTAGCAATAGAAAAGGAACGAAAAACAGAGAGCAGACACTAGTGCATTCCATTTCAGATGCTATTCTAAACCAAAATATCATTTTGCCATAAGCTGCTGAAACTCCAGTCAAAAAGTGAGAGTCAGACAGCAACCCAGCTGTTTTATATCCCTCCTCTGCCCTTGCTGTAAAACCACAGAAGTCCTCTCTTTGTTCTACCCATTGCTTTTTTGCATAGACTGAGCCTCCACTTTTAGGGATTTCTAGGTACACAGTTCTATGGATTCTTTTCTTTTGTCACCAAATATGGCAACAATTCCTTTTAACATATTTTACAATGCTCTCTACCCCGAGGTGCCTCATAAATATTAATAAAAATCATTACCATCACTCTACTGAATCAAACAGCCCATGTGTTGCTTACAGAGTACTTGTTACAATCTGACTTATCACAGTACTTACTTAACATGCATGGCTATTCACTTAACACATGGCCTTTTGACACTAACCACATTTTAAGTAATGCAAGCGCCAGCATGCAGTGGTGTGTAAAAAATATTCACCAGAGAAATATTAGCAGCAACAGCACATAAACTGCTTCTTCATTTCAGAAGACTCATAGAGTCTATTCTTGAAAGTAATTTCAAAGACTAGAAATATCAAAAACAATGTTAAAATACAGGCATACCTTGGAGATATTGAAGGTTCAGATCCAAACCACTGTAATAAGGCAAGTCACACAAATTTTGGAGTTCCCAGTGCATATAAAAGTTATGTTTAAACTAAACTGCAGTGTATTAAGTGTACAACCGCATTATGTCTAAAAATGTACATAATTTTAAAATACTTTATTGCTAAAAATGCTAACAATCATCTGAGCCTTCAATGAATCATAGTCTTTTTGCTATGGTCAAAAAGGTGGAAGGTCATGCCTTGGTGTTGATGGCTGCTGACTGACAAGGGCAGGGGTCGCTGAAGGTTGGAGAGGCTGTGGTAATTTCTTAAAATAAGACAATGATAAAGTTTGCTGTATTGATTAACTTTTCATTTCATAAAAGTTCTCTATAGTATGTGATACTGTTTGATAGCATTTTATGCAGAGTAGAACTTCTTTTAAAACTGAGGTTAGGCTGGGCATAGTGGCTCATGCCTACAATCCTAGCACTTTGGGAGGCTAATGTGGGAGGATCTCTTGAGGCCAGGAGTTTGGGTAACATGGCAAGACACCCATCTCTACAAAAAAAATGTTAAAAAATTATCCAGACATGGTGGCATGCACCCATAGTTCCAGCTACTCAGGAGGCTAAGGCAGGAAGATCACTTGAGCCCAGGAATTCAAGGCTGCAGTAAGCCCTAATCACACCACTGCACTCCAGCCTGGGTGACAGTGAGACTCTAAAATAAATAAATAATCAAATAAATAAATAAATTGAGGTCAATTCTTTCAAACCCTGCTACTACATTATCAACTAAGTAAGTTTATGTAATATTTAAATCCTTTGTTGTCATTTCAACAATATTCACAGCATCTTTGCCAGAAGTAGATTAGATTTCAAGAAACCACTTTCTTTGCTCATCCATAAGAAGCAACTCCTCATCTGTTCAAGTTTCATCATTAGATTGCAACATTCAGTTGTATGTTCAGGCTTCAATTCAAATTCTAGTTCTATTGATATTTCTAACACATCTGCATTTACTTTCTCCAATTAAGTCTTCAACTTCCCAAAGCCATTTATGAGCGTTAGGATCAACTTTTTCCAGACTCCTATTGATGTTGCTATTTTAACCTCCTCTGATAAATCACAAATGTTTATAATGGCATTTAGAATGGTGAATTCTTTACAGAAGGTTTTCAACTCACTTTGCCCAGAGCCATCAAAGGAATCACTATGGCAGCTATAGCCTTACAAAATGTATTTCTCAATAACAAGACTTTAAATTCATCAAAATTATTCCTTGAGGTTTAGGCTGCAGTGAGCCATGTTTGTGCCACTGCACTCCAGCCTGGGTAACAGAATGAGACCCTCAAAAACATTAAAATTAAAAATAAATACTCCTTGGTTCCTGGGCTGCAGAATGGATGTTAACAGCCATGAAAATATATTAATCTCCTTGTACATTTCCATCAGAGCTCTTTGGTGACTAGGTGCATTGTCAATGAACAGTAATATTTGAAAGAAATATTTTATTCCGAGCAGGAGGTCTCAAGAGTAGGCTTAAAATATTCAGTAAACCATTCTGTAAACAGATATGGTGTCATTCAGGCTTTGTTCAATTTATAAAGCACCGGCAGAGTAGATTTAGCATCATTCTTAAGGGCCTTAGGATTTTTAGAATGGCAAATGAGCATTGACTTCAAGTCACCAGCTGTATTCCTAATAAGAGAGTTAATCTGTTCTTCGGAGCTTTGAAGCTAGATATTAGCTTCTCCTCTCTAGCTAGGAAAATCCTAGACAGTATCTTCTTTCAATGTAAGGCAATTTATTCTTCACTGAAAATCTGTTGTTTATGTAGACACTTTCATCAGTGATCTTAGCTGAATCTTCTGGATAACTTGCTGGAGCTTCTATATCAGCACTTGCTTCTTCACCTTGCCCTTTTAAGTTATGGAGATGGCTTTTTTTCTTAAACTTCATGAACCAATTTCTGACAGCTTCTGACTTTTCTTCTTCAGCTACCTCACCTCTCTCAGCCTTCATAGAGTTGACTAGGGTTAGAATTTTGCTCTGGATTAGACTTTGGGTTAAAGAAATGTTGTGTCTGGTTTGATCTCTGTAAAGACTACTAAAATTTGTTCCATATCAGCAATAAGCCAGTTTTGCTTTCTTACCATGTGCATTGTGATGGTTAATAATGAGAGGCAAGTTGATTGGATTGAAGTACTGATCTTGGGTGTGTTTGTGAAGGTGTTGCCAAAAGAGATTAACATTTGTGTTAGTGGGCTGGGAAAGGCAGACCCACCCGTAATCTCAGTGGGCACAACCTAATTAGCTGCCAGTGCGGCTAGAATATAAGCAGGCAGAAAAATGTGAAAAGAGAGACTGGCCTAGCCTCCCAGTCTACATCTTTCTCCTGTACTGGATGCTTCTTGCCCTCGAACATCGGACTCGAAGTTCTTCAGTTTTGGAACTCAGACTGCTCTCCTTGCTCCTCAGCCTGCAGCCTATTGTGGGACCTTGTGATCGTGTGAGTTAATAAACTCCCTTTTATATATCTATTCCATTAGTTCTATACCTCTATAGAACCCTGAATAATACATGTGTGTTCACTGGAGTAACACCTTTAATTTCCTTCAAGAAACTTTCCTTTGGATTCAAAACTTGACTAATTGGCACAGGAGGCCTAGCTTTCAGTCTATCTCAGCTTTTGATATGCCTTCTTCACTAAGCTTAATAATTTCTAGCTTTTTATTTAAAGTGAGAGACTTGAGACTGTTTCTTTTACTTCAATACTTAGAGGCCATTGTAGGGTTATTAATTGGCCTGATTTCAATACTGTTGTGTCTCAGGAAATAGGGAGGTCTGAGTAGAGGGAGAGATGGGAAAATGGGCCATCGATAAAGTCATCAGAACACACAACATATATCGATGAAGTTTGGCATCTTATATGGCTGCGGTTTGTGGTGCCATCAAAATTACAATACTAACATCAAAGATCAATGATCACAGATCACTATAATAGATATAAAAATAATGAAAAGTGTAAAATATTGTAAGAATTACCAAAATGTAACACAGACACACAAAGTGAGCAAATGTTGTTGGAAAAATGGCCCTGATAGACTTGCTTGATGCAGGGTTATCACAAACCTTCAATTGGTAAAAAATAAAATATCTGCAAGGTGCAGTAAGTAAAGCAAAGTGGGATAAAACAAGGTATGCCTGAACCTGAAACAAATGTTTCCTCTTCCTGTCAGGAAAGATGTCATTGTACCTTACAAGTATATCAGCCTTCTTTTGAGATAGGTGTTGGGAGACATGACTGGTGCCTAGTTTTAAATTAGCTCTTAGACACAAGATAGCAGAGCTCTGTAGCTATTTCTGAGAAAGATTATTTAATATAGAATGGACAGATAGATACAACTGTATTGTTTTAAAATACCAAAGCCTGGCAGAGACACAACAACAAAAAAGAGAATTTTAGACCAATATCCTTGATGAACATTGATGCAAAAATCCTCAATAAAATACTGGCAAACCGAATCCAGCAGCACATCAAAAAGCTTATCCACCATGATCAAGTGGGCTTCATCCCTGGGATGCAAGGCTGGTTCAATATACGCAAATCAATAAACATAATCCAGCATATAAACAGAACCAAGGACAAAAACCACTTGATTATCTCAATAGATGCAGAAAAGGCCTTTGACAAAATTCAACAACGCTTCATGCTAAAAACTCTCAATAAATGAGGTATTGATGGGACGTATCTCAAAATAATAAGAGCTATCTATGACAAACCCACAGCCAATATCATACTGAATGGGCAAAAACTGGAAGCATTCCCTCTGAAAACTGGCACAAGACAGGGATGCCCTCTCTCACCACTCCTATTCAACATAGTGTTGGAAGTTCTGGCCAGGGCAATCAGGCAGGAGAAGGAAATAAAGGGTATTCAATTAGGAAAAGAGGAAGTCAAATTGTCCCTGTTTGCAGATGACATGATTGTGTATCTAGGAAACCCCACTGTCTCAGCCCAAAATCTCCTTAAGCTCATAGGCAACTTCAGCAAAGTCTCAGGATACAAAATCAATGTGCAAAAATCACAAGCATTCTTAAACACCAATAACAGACAAAAAGAGAGCCAAATCATGAGTGAACTCCCATTCACAATTGCTTCAAAGAGAATAAAATACCCAGGAATCCAACTTACAAGGCATGTGAAGAACCTCTTCAAGGAGAACTACAAACCACTGCTCGATGAAATAAAAGAGGATACAAACAAATGGAAGAACATTCCATGCTCATTGGTAGGAAGAATCAATATCGTGAAAATGGCCATACTGCCCAAGGTAATTTATAGATTCAATGCCATCTCCATCAAGCTACCAATGACTTTCTTCACAAAATTGGAAAAAACTACTTTAAAGTTCATATGGAACCAAAAAAGAGCCCGGATTGCCAAGTCAATCCTAAGCCAAAAGAACAAAGGTGGAGGCATCACGCTACCTGACTTCAAACTATACTACAAGGCTACAGTAACAAAAACAGCATGTTACTGGTACCAAAACAGAGATGCAGACCAATGGAACAGAACAGAGCCCTCAGAAATAATGCCGCACATCTACAACCATCTGATCTTTGACAAACCTGACAAAAACAAGAAATGGGGAAACGATTCTCTATTTAATAAATGGTGCTGGGAAAACTGGCTAGCCATATGTAGAAAGCTGAAACTGGATCCCTTCCTTACACCTTATACAAAAATTAATTCAAGATGGATTAAAGACTTAAACGTTAGACCTAGAACCATAAAAACCCTAGAAGAAAAATTCTAGGCAATACCATTCAGGACATAGGCGTGGGCAAGGACTTCATGTCTAAAACACCAAAAGCAATGGCAACAAAAGCCAAAATTGACAAATGAGATCTAATTAAACTAAAGAGCTTCTGCACAGCAAAAGAAACTACCATCAGAGTGAACAGGCAACCTACAGAATGGGAGAACATTTCTGCAATCTACTCATCTGACAAAGGGCTAATATCCAGAATCTACAATGAACTCAAACAAATTTACAAGAAAAAACAAACAAGCCCATCAACAAGTGGGCGAAGGATATGAACAGACACTTCTCAAAAGAAGACATTTATGCAGCCAAAAGACATATGAAAAAATGCTCATCATCACTGGCCATCAGAGAAATGCAAATCAAAGCCACAATGAGATACCATCTCACACCAGTTAGAATGGCGATCATTAAAAAGTCAGGAAACAACAGGTGCTGGAGAGGATGTGGAGAAATAGGAACACTTTTACACTGTTGGTGGGACTGTAAACTAGTTCAACCATTGTGGAAGTCAGTGTGGTGATTCCTCAGGGATCTAGAACTAGAAATACCATTTGACCCAGCCATCCCATTACTGGGTATATACCCAAAGGATTATAAATCATGCTGCTATAAAAACACATGCACACGTACGTTTATTGGGGCACTATTCACAATAGCAAAGACATGGAACCAACCCAAATGTCCAACAATGATAGACTGGATTAAGAAAATGTGGCACATATATACCATGGAACACTATGCAGCCATAAAAAATGATGAGTTCATGTCCTTTGTAGGGACGTGGATGAAGCTGGAAACCATCATTCTCAGCAAACTATTGCAAGGACAAAAAACCAAATACTTCATGTTCTCACTCATAGATGGGAATTGAACAATGAGAACACATGGACCCAGGAATGGGAACATCACACACCGGGGCCTGTTGTGGGGTGGGGGGAGGGGGGAGGTATGGCATTTGGTGATATACCTAATGTTAAATGACGAGTTACTGAGTGCAGCACACCAACATGGCACATGTATACATATGTAACTAACATGCACGTTGTGCACATGTACCCTAAAACTTAAAATATAATAAAAAAAAAGAAAGAGAGACAAATAGAAAAAAGAAAAAAAAAACAAAATTAAAGTGACTGGTTCTCTAAGAAAAAAAAAGTTTTACTTTAGAAGAGACTGAGAAAATCTGATGCCAAACTTTAGAAAGAAGCTTTTTTGTTTGTTTGTTTGTTTTTAACTCTAAGAATATACTGAGTAGAGAAGCTACGCAGCTTAAAGACTTGTGGAAGGTTTTTAAACACTCCCATTTGGAGAGAAAGATCAAGTTTTCTGATGTTCCCCACCTTCAGCTTTATAGCTTAAAAAGCACTATGAAAATAGAATGAAAAAATGCTTCTGAGCATCTACACAACCGAAGACACCGTAAATTTGGTATATCTTATTAATCAACTCTATACTCTGCACTCAGAGTCTATATTACATATAGCAAAGACAATGTTGCCTATTAAGAAGGAATAGACAAATTAATCCCTACAGGGAAGGAAATTCAAAATTCTTTATTGCTATGCTGAGGTGAGAAAATCCTTTAGCAGCAATTTGCATGTGCATCTAATGACAATTTGACAGCTACATTTAAATGAGCCTCAGGTAAAGAAGTAAAAGCTAAGCTGGAGCCTGTTAACAGATATATCACTTCTATTTCCCAGCTATGCCAAAGCATAACATGAAGAACCTTCCATAATGAGAGAAAGGAAGAATGTATATTGGAAGAATGGCTTTAATTGACAGAGCACTTGTTTCCTCAATATGAATAGTGTGTTTCTGTGTCATTTCATGATGAGAAAAGAAATTGTGATAACAGCATGGAGCGCTGGAAGAAAATAAATTAGAATCTAAGACAAATAATGAGCTTTACAGCTGAAGGCAATCCAAAGGATAGCACAGAACATTAGAATAGTACAAGCATTTTGATTCTATAAAATCTACATGTGTCTTTATCTTTCTTTCCTTCCTATGTTTCCTCCCTCCCTTTCTTACTAAAAACATCCTTAAGGCAGAGCTCAATATGAATTTACAGTATTGAATACATGGCTTTATGTCGAGTAAGTTCATTAACACATACAGTAAAATTGGCAGGTTGATTTTTTGTTTTTGTTTTGAAGCTGTACTGCTACTGTTAAGAAACATGAATAGCATTTCTATTCAGCAACAGCCCTTCTCCCTTTATGTTCATACCATGTTGATGTGCCCCTATTTCTTCAGTGAAAAGATCTATAAAGGAATGAGGTGTTTTCATTTCTAAAAGTGAACATATCTGTGTAGTCAAAGGATTTCAATAATAAAAGTCTCAAATGTATTTTGCACTATCTACATATTCTTAAAAGTAATTTTTTTATCTGTGAATCATGAGCAAAATGAAAACATCTTAAAGATGGCAGTAGTTATCCAAGCACTGATTTAACAAGCCAAAACCTGAAGGTTTGAACCGCCACATTTGAATATTTAATACATCAGAGAGGATGTCTTTTTTTTATTATTATACTTTAAGTTCTAGGGTACATGTGCACAACGTGCAGGTGTGTTACGTATCTATACATGTGCCATGTTGGTGTGCTGCACCCATTAACTCATCATTTACATTAGGCATATCTCCTAATGCTATCCCTCCCCGCTCCCCCCACCCCACAACAGGCCGTCTTATGAAGGTTATCAATGGCTCTAAAGGCCAGCTTTAAAAATTCACAGAACTGAAAAAGTACATGTCAGATTACTGCAAAAGGATAAAGCATGGTTTGAGGTTCTGTGGAAACCAGTGAAATCAATGTCCATTACCCAAAAAGTAAAATATAATATGAGGGTTAAGAATTTGAGGATATTCAAAGGAAAATTATATTTAAAATAAATATATATTAATTAAACCTGAAATAGAATACTTTTTCACAGTTGATTTAGGTGAACCATCCTCTTGAATACTGGCAACAACAATGTTATCTTCTTTTACTTACAAGTTAAATGCCCAAATTAGAATGTAATTCCTTCACAGATTCCAAGTTGATATTTCAAAGTATAATAAATATGTACAGCTAGTATAGATCAACAAAAATACATACTAGGATCAGGCATGGTGGCTTGTGCCTATAATCCCAGCACTTTGGGAGGCTGAGGCAGGTGGATCATGAGGTCAGGAGTTTGAGACCAGCCTGGCCAACATGGTGAAACCCTGTCTCTACTAAAAATACAAAAATCAGCTGGGTGTGGTGGCAGGTGCCTGTAATCCCAGCTCCTCCGGAGGCTGAGGCAGGAGACTCATTTGAACCCAGGAGGTGGAGATTGCAATGAGCCAAGATCGTGGCATTGCACTCCAGCCTGGGCAACAGGGTGAGACTCTGTCATAAGAAAAACAAACAAACAAACAAACAAACAAAAAAACCTAAAGAATAATAAAGACAGAAGTGGATAAAAAGTTAATTTGCTATGACTTGAAGATGTGATTTTGTAACTTCTTTTGTAACTTCAGTCATTCTTGATACGAATTTCCAGCATGAGACAAATCACTTTGAGATTGATTATTATAACTACATCTACTAAAACACAGATAAAAAGCAAAGCACTATAAAGAAAAATTTGAAAGTCTGGAAAGGGACCTTTGTGGCCTCCTGAGAGAAGCTTTTGCAAGTACCACATTGTTCTCTAAATTTCTATATTTTTCTGGGCAAAGAAATAATTATGTACCTGTGTTTCTTAATGTCATTTATTCCATTCTTCAGATTTCCCAGCCTTTCTGTTGGATTTTGCCTAAAACAATAATTTGTAAAAGGCAATTTATAATAATTATATTTATAATAATTATAATTCAGAAAATTTTAAATTAAAACTTAACATCTATTTGTTAATTAATTAATTCATTCATTCATTAAAAAACATGCATGAAGTTGCTACTGTAGACCAGACATCTGAGTTTAGGGAGGTGAAAAGACACGACCTCCTCCCTGGAGGAGCCACAGTTAAATTAGACTTCGGAGTGTATATATATATATGTGTGTATAAGGTATGAATAAATACTTTAAAGAACAAGCAGGCACTATCTTGCCAACTGTGCTGAGAAAACCGGGGCAAGCTTTAGAGAATCATTTACATCTAAGCTGAAATCTTAGAAGCATACTGGCAACCCATAGCTACGTTTTTAGTTCTAAATTATACTAAATTGTAATGCTTTTTTAAAAGTTCAAATAGGAAAAAAACAGCAAAATGAATTTTAAACAAAAAAAATCCAGAAGTCTCCTATTCTCTGATAAATTATTTTTAATGGTAAGTAGAAGTTGGGGTAATTTAAAATAAGAACAGAGGAGCACTTTTTAAAAAATGAAGATGGAAAGAGGTCATATAATAACACTTCATTATCACGACTAATTTTCTTTCAAAATAACAAGATTATTATAAATAAATTACTCCTATTTTATATTGTGAAAATTTATGTGGCACATGAGAAAATTCGTTACGCGTATATAATGCCTAGTGATCAACTCAGGGTATTAAGGATGTCCGTTGCCTGAGTATAATACATTTTTGTTAAGTATTCAATTGTCCTCTTTGAACATTGAATTTATTCCTTTTATCTTACTGTATAATTACCTATTTAACCCACTTCCCTTCAGCCTCCCCTCTCCCTTCCGAGTCCCTGATATCTACATTTCCGTTTTCTATCTCCATGTGTTCAAATTTTTTAGCTCTTACATAGAAACAAGAACATTGAATATTTGTCTTTTTGTGTCTGGCTTATTTCACTTAAGATAATGACCTTCAGTTCCTTCCATGTTGCTGAAAATGATATGACTTCATTCTTTTTCATTGCTGAAATAGTAAATTACTCCTTTTTTAGCCTAAGGTTTATGGTTTATTTTGCTCTCTAACAGATAAAGATGATACCCAAAGGTTGTCTGAAAAATTTAGATCTTTTTTTAAACTACTTCATAAGTAGGTACTGTGATTCTGTAATGTGAGGTCAACTAAAACCCCCTACACTGCAAAACAGAAAATGACTTCCTTCAAATATAATTTGCCTATATAAAAACAGCACAAAAAGTAAATATGCACCTAATTTTAAAATGTGTAGAAACAGAAACCGAAGCCTTTAGACTTTCTTCAAGACAAGGGGTTACTGACTGTCATTCTCACCTGCAAAGCCTCCGAATCAAATCCTCAGGTCGTCGTGTTATCTTCCTGGGAAAATCCATTTTTTCAATTCCTTTGAGAATCAAATTGTAGGTCATCATTTGGTCAACCCCAGAAAAGGGTGGGCTAGATAGAGAAAATCCAGAACAGGACACATTAATAACAGGGTCTGAGATCACATTTGGAATGAATTTTCTTTCTTCCTTCTTTCCTTCCCTCCCTTCTTTCATTTCTTCCTCTCTCTGTCTCAGTTGTTTTACAACAAATTTAGATATATCCTAGAATATCATCTCACTAATTTAATATCGCTTAGCACACAATACACACACACATGCACATACAGGTAATTGGTCATGTGTCGATAATCACTAATAATAAAATAAAGAAAGGGACAGAGAAGGTGTGATTTTTTGAGATACAGTAAATAAGAAAAGCCTCTCATAGGCTGACAATTGTGCAGACGTATGAATAAAGAGAGGGAAGGAAGTGAATGCACCGCACCACTACCTATGGCAGACAGTTCTAAGACAGGAAGCACAAAGGCCATGAGTCAGGAGTGGGCCTGGGAGGTCCTGCATAGTGAAGTGGGCAGTGTGGCTGGTGGAGTGAGGAAGCAAGAGGGGAGTACATAGATGAGGACAATATCGCATAGATGAAGTGGGCTATCAGAAGGACCTGGGGATACATTCTGAGCAGGATGATCTAAATTAGAGCAGCCAGAGTAAGGTTTTCCTAATGTGTAGAGGATAAACTATGATGATGGTAGTGAGAAAGTCAGGGGCAAGGAGCCCCAGTAACCTTGCCTAGCATAGTAATGTTGAAAGTAGTGAGATATGGCTGGATTCTACATCTACTTAGACTGTGCAATAGGCTGAATGTCTGTGTTCCACCAAATTCATTTGTTGAAACCCTAATCCCAGTGTGATGGTATTTGGAGGTGAGGCCTGTGGGAGGTAATTAAATCAGAAGGGTGAAGCCCTCATGAATGGGACTGGTGCCATTCTAAGGAAAAGCTAGGGAGCTAGTTGCCTGGCTTTTGGCCATGTGAGGATACAAGGAGAAGTCAGCAGTAACTCAGATTAGGATGCTCACCATAACACAACCACCCTGGTAACCTGATCTGGGACTTCCAACCTGCAGCTGTGAAAAATAAATGTTTGCTGCTTAAGCCACCCAGTTTATAGTATTTTGCTATAGCAGCCCAAGCTGACTAAGACACATAGTAAAGCCATCAAAGTTTGCTAATGGGGTGAATAAGGCATGTGGGAGAAACAAAGAATTCAAGAATGATGCTAAAGTGTTTTGGCCTTGTTGCAGTTATTTCCTAAGAGGAGAAAGACGGAGTTGGGGTGGTGTGCAGAGCGGGTTATGGGGAAGGGAATCAAGAGTTATGTTTTAAACATCCAAATGGAAATGCTAAGCAGGAAGGTAGATTTATGACATAGGCATTTAGGAAAGGGGTTAAGGCTCAAAGTGTGACTTGCGGAGTCATCAGACAGTATTTATGGCTATGAGAATTGATGGTATCATCAAGAGAGTGAGTGGGTAAAAAGAGAGAATAGAGGTCAAGAACTGAATTGGTCCAATGTTGAGAGGTAGGAAGATGAAAAGAATCTAGCAATGGAGACTGAGAAGGAGCCACCAATGTGGGAAAAGAACAGGGAAGAAAATTCTAGAAGCCAAGTGAAGAGAGTATTTATTTATTTATTTATCTATTTATTTTAGAGGGAGTCTCACTCTGTCATCAGGCTGGAGTGCAGTGGTGCAATCTCGGCTCACTGCAACCTCCACCTCCTGGGTTCAAGTGATTCTCCTGCCTCAGCCTCCCAGGTAGCTGGGACTACAGGTGCACGCCACCATGCCCAGCTAATTTTTGTATTTTTAGTGGAGACGGAGTTTCACCATGTTGGCCAGGATGGTCTCAATTTCTTGACCTCGTGATCCGCCCGCCTCAGCCTCCCAAAGTGCTGGGATTACAGGCACGAGTCACAACACCCACCCGAGAGTATTTTTTAAAAAGTACTGCTAAGATCAGTAAACAAAGACTGAGAATTGGCCACTGAATTTGGATAACATTTTAACTCATATACTTTGCTTTCAAAAACACTTTCGAGGCCGGGCATGGTGGCTCACGCCTGTAATCCTAGCACTTTGAGAGAATGAGGCGGGAAGATTACCTGAGGTTAGAAGTTCGAGACCAGCCTGGCCAACATGACAAAACCCTGTCTCTACTAAAAATACAAAAATCAGCTGGGCATAGTGGTGGGCACCTATAATCCCAGCTACTCAGGAAGCTGAGGCAGGAGAATCGCTTGAACTCGGGAGGCAGAGGTTGCAGTGAGCTGAGACTGCCTCACTGCACTCCAGCCTGGGCAACACAGCAAGACTCCATCTCAAAAATAAATAAATAATAAAAACACTTTCATATTTATTCTATTATGCCATTTAATTTTTGAAAATTAAAGATGACTTTCCATGAACTACTTTTGCTATATATTAGTCACACTGGAGACCTTGTGTTACTGAGCTTTCCCACTCTAGATAATAAACGAGACAGTCAGTGTACCAACTTTTTACTAAACTATATTTCACTTGTAAAGAAAATGAGGCAGGAAACCAAAAACATTGTTATGATATATTCAACTTATTTATATATTAACACTATTGGTTTTTTTTTTTTTTTTAATTTTCATTTCCCTCCTATGCTCTGGAGTTCAGGGCATTTAAAGTTAACCTTTCTCATGCCCTACCCAGAAAATCATTTACAGGTCAAACAAAACAATTGTTACAAAAACAGTTTCTTGGCCTAGTGTGATGGCTCACACTTGTAATCTCAGCACTTTTGGAAGCTGAGATGAGTGGACTGCTTGAGCCCAGGAGCTTGAGCCCAGCCTGGGTAACACAGTAAGATACCATTTCTGCAAAAAAATTTTAAAAATTAGCTGGGCATGGTGGCATGTGCCTGTAGTCCCATCTACTCTGGAGGCTGAAGCAAGAGGATTGCTTGGGCCCAGAAGGTGGAGGCTGCAGTGACCAGTGATCACACCACTTCATTGCAGCCTGGGTGACAGAGTGACACCGTGTCTCAACAAACAAAACAAAACAATTTCTCAACTTCTTTATGACCTACTCCTTCTAATATGTTATTCCAGCTGGTGAAAACTGACATACATATCTGATTACCTATAGAAGCCAGCATGTATCTCTTACAAATGCAGCTGACAAATTTCCCAGAGAAACAAATTTTTGAAATAGAATTCGTTGTGCCCAAGCCCTTAAACAACTTTTCTCTGAATGACTGAATATTTTCTCTTCCTTCCTTCAGAATCTTAAGCAATGAATATTTGAAAATAATTACAGACAATATAAAATGGTCTTTCATATTTGTTTGCTCAATGCAAGGTGTAAAATGTAGCCACAGATAGTCTAACACTGAAATTTGTAGCGTAGAAAGTTCAAGAAGATTCTATGAAACTCTTTTCATAAAGTATGTGTTAAGACTTGTATCTTCACCAATAGACTCGTTCTAGTATTTCTTAAACCATTCCAAATGCAAATCCTCTCTGAAATTAAGACTGAGAATATTTGGTTATAAAGGGTTATAAGGATGATCAAATCAGTTAACCAGAAATGGAGCTAGAAAACCAGAAAGAAAATTGATTTGAATTCTGTGTGTGTATGCCCATGCATTGTATCATAAACACATATAGAAGGAAGGTGCGTCACATTTAGTCAGAAGATCTAGTATTATGTTACTGATCTTGGACAGGTAGCTCTCTCACCTGGTTTTCTAATCTATAAAATGTAAATCATAAAATAATCATAATAAAAATGTAAATCATAAAATAATCATAATAAAAATTCCTAACTTATCTTCCACACAAGCTTGTCAGAACTAAACTACATAATACACATGTAAGTGCTTTGTAAAATGTAAAGTACTTTACAAATGTGAGGTAATATCACATATAGCCTGTGTATGTGTGTTTGCGTAGGTGTGTAATGTGTGTATGTGCATTTAAATATTTGAGATCCTGGATTCACTAACACAGTCCTTTAATCTCTTTGGGAATGACAATTCAATTTTCACTGCTAAAACCCCTGCAGTGTCTTGTCTCTGTTCATTAGCACCTCTAGAAAGCAGCTGACAAGAGGATTAAAATTTAAATCCAGAAATGGTGCTTTGTTCTAGCATTTCTGGTTAATGATATGTTGGGAAGATGGATAATTTCAGTTTAATTGATCAATGGATTTAACTGAACTCAGATTGCTGTTTTCTCCATTACACAAAAAAGAGGAAATAATAACACAGCCCAGAACTTTCATTCCTTCTCTTATTATTATGCTGAATTATTAAAGCCTTCATACTTAATTTGTTATCTACAGTAATAGGTCTTGCCACGTTAGGTAAACCACAGCAATTCTATATTCCTTTCCTTTGCCTTCCTGAATCTTTTCTTTATGTTATAAACCAGCAAGTTCACTGTATGTGAAACAATGTCATGAGAAAAAGGTATCATACTTAATCGAAAACATTTTCAAAATGTTACGCTCTTAAAGTATATACACTTTATCACTAGTTAGGTTATTTTTGCATTTCTCTGAAGAGGTGGCTGCATAAAACTTGAAGGTACATACTTGCCCGTTAGGAGCTCATACACTAGAATTCCCAGTGACCAGAAATCCACACTGAAGTCATGTCCCTTGTTGAGAATGACTTCAGGAGCTACATATTCTGGAGTCCCACAGAATGTCCATGTTTTCTGTCCAGACCCTATTTTCTTCGCAAATCCAAAGTCAACCTGGTAAAGAATAGCAAAGAAATTGTGCAGAAACCATAAAACTCATGCTCCTCTTTAAGCCTCCCTCTTACCTCTGAAATCTGCTTTCTACACCCCACCCTTCTTTTTATACCATGCACACACACACACACACACACAAAGAGAGAGAGAGAGAGACAGACAGACGGACAGACAGACAAAGAGACAGAGAGACCACCTCGTGTATTCCTTTGCAGGGTCAGGTGTGTATCTAGTTGCACTGCGGAAAGTTCCATGCACATACCTCTCTGCCCACGACCCCTAGAGGATATGGAGGAATGGCTTAGCAAAGGGGATCCATAACAACAACTTTGAAGCTCAGGGCAAGCAGGACTAAACAGATGTTTAATTCAAAAGTGGTATTATTTGGGAAGAAGAGACAAGGAAGAAATGATGGACACCTGAGCAAGTAAAGCTCCGTCATGAATGTAAAAATAAAAACAAAATTGAGAGTTTGGGAAATGGACTAATGCTGAGAAGGGGGGCTTAATACTCTGGACAGTCTTTAAAAACCATCATACACAATGTCTGCACCCTACACATTTTGGCAGTCGAAAGCAAAGTCAGGGTAATATCATGCCAACTTTGTCTGGGCTCTATACACTTCTTGTCTCTCAGGAAGGTGAGTGGTGGGCAGTATCTACGTTAACTTACTTATTCGGAAAACATACATTCAGCACCCAGTCAAGGTCAGGCTTTCTGCTAGGCCTATAGATACAAAGTTAACTCTCAGACTTCAGTGCATTAGCAAAATGTACACAAACATGATTAATATTATATCATGTTATACATGATTAATATTATATCATGTTATACATGATTAATATTATATCATGTAATACATGATATAATTGAAGAAAGTATAAATTCATAGGGCAAAAATCATATATGTCAAGAACATTAGGGAGATGATGGTTGGGGAAGATGTTATTAGCAGGTGACATCTGAGCTTGGCCCTGACTGAGGATTAGGAACTCTCCCAGGGTAATGAATCAGTGCTACCGTCCTCCGTTTTCGCAAAATAGACCTTTCCTCTTCTCTGAGGCCCTATTCAAAGAACTCCGTGCACAGAATAGACAGAAAAAAAGCTGGAGCTACAGAAGGGCCCCTCATTGAATCGAAGCAGTGTATATGATCAAAATCCTTCCCTGCAAAACACACAGTTGGTTTTCTTTCACAGGGGTATTTAGCAAATACTTTTCATCTCCAATATATACAGATATTATTCTAATAAAACTATCCTCCACCTTCCTCAAACAAACAGTCACAAATTGTTTCTGGGCTTCAGCATTTCACATTTCACATAGCCTTTCTCAATAATACAGCAACAATCTTGGCTAAAAAATAAATAAACAAGGTTCACATAACAAAATAAGCCCTCATCTAAAAAAAGTATGAGTCATTGAACTATAAAATCCAGCCCCTATTTATTTATTCAAATATTGGTATTTAAAATCTTAATTTACCTTAAATAAACCCCTTAGAAATTTACCATTTTACTGATTGCTTTTAGTATTTATCACACAACAGCAAGGATTTTCCTATTGGAAAAAAGGAATTTAAACAATCTAATTTGAAGTGGGCTTTTGCTGATTTTTTCATCCACACAGAATGACTCACAGTGATTATATCTACTGTGTGGTTGGGAATATTACAAAATTAAAATTTGTAATCAGCTGAGACTAGCACATCAACGTATTCCTCAGAGAAAGAACCAATATGAAAATCCTAGCTAATTTTATAAAGACTGAAATTTAAAAGGCAAGAAAGTAATGTTTATAACTGCATTTGTATGCACACAAATATGAAAATATTGTTTTGTTGGTTTATAACAGACTTTTGACGCATTTCTTTATTAATTGCATTTAAGTTCTCCTCATAAGGATCACTGGAAGCTTACCAGCTATTTAGGAGAATTTCTCTAGCTCTGAAAGTGGTATATTTCCATTTGAATTGCTGGTTTAGCTTTTGTAATATTTGCATATTGGCCTAAAGAGATGGCAATACTTATATTAAAATTTCAAGACTGATGTAAATGTATCGCTTTCTTTATCTCCTTTGATCATATCAACTTTGGTCTAATCCATTTCGTCAGCGGAAACTGGACACTCAGACCTATTTAAGACAAGTGCCTAATATAGAAGGCCCCAAATCTTCTACATCAAGTTTTGTATATTTTCTATAAAAATCACGCTATGTCTGTCTTGTACCACCATGGATACTACCAGAAAGTCTCAGTCTTTTTTCACCCCAGCTCTTCTAGACAACAGAAAGTTAATAAATAACTCAATGAATATTTATTGAGTACCACTATATACCAAAAAGACTCACTGAGGCGGTAGCATTTGAGCAGATTTGAGTAGAAATCTCAGTGAGGTAAGTAAGAGAGCTCTGTAAGCATCCGAGCGGCAGTCGTGCCACCAAAAGGAAGAGCCAGTGAAAAGGCCTGAGATGGAATTATGCATGGCAGGATCAAGAACTGGCAAGAAGGCCAGCGTGGCTGGGCAAAAATGGATGAGGGGAAGAGAGGCAAGAAGTGAGAGCATTGTGGGTTTGTAAACCACAGAAATAACTTCAGATTTTTTTCTTTTCTAAGAAATCACAGTAAGATTAACAGAAGGGGTATGGCATGGCCTGACATGTTTTAAAGGGATCAATCTAGGAGACAAGAAAATAGACACCCTCCCCTTTTTTTTCAAATTCTACTAACAAAACTGAGGTTTCAAGAAGAGCACCCCCCCTTTTTTTTCAAATTCTACTAGCAAAACTGAGGTTTCAAGACGAGTACCTGAGGAAGTTGTACACAGGTTTGCCCTTGTCTCTATTAAATTCTCATTATTAACGATGGCGTACATCATGCTGAAAACATCATCTCCAAAGATTTTAATAAACTAGAAGGTTTTAAAATGATTCTAAATCTGCACTGATGATTGTATCATTCAGAAATAGAAAAATTTGCATTGTGGCTTGCTGGAGCTGGTATCCAGTAAGTATGAACTCTTTCCCAGAAATTTCTCTCTGGGTCAGTAAATTTGTCAGATATTGGTTCTCTTGGTCACATAAAAATGGACACAAAATGGCCAGTCTAATTAAACCAGATGATTCACGGTGACATGCCATTCCAAAAAAATATTTATGTGGCATTTTTAGTGTACTTCCTTTACCCAAGTCTAGACAAGGGTAAAATGGAATCTGTTTAACCTGTCCACCAACAACCAAAGTTGATTTAATGTCTTTCTGCTACTAACGTCCATCCACTAAAAGAGGCAACAATGGATGGTTTTGATTGAGTGGAAGTGAAAGTGAAAGAGGCTAAGATATGGGATGAATGAGTCTTTCCAAGTAATGACCCACTCTTTATGTTTGGTGTACAGATTCAGCTGAAATACCTAAGAGTATTTAGTAGAAGGTGGGCGAGATGAAGGGAAGACTTGCATACCCCAGGACAAACAGGAAATATTTTTTGAGGCTCATCTCATATGCCACCACTTATTTGAAGTCTTACTTGAATTTACAGAACCAATTCCCTTCTCCTGTGAGGTTCTGTAACACTTTTTATATTCCAGAATTACAACCCTGGTGCCAGTGGTGTCTAGTTGTGAATAAATCTAGCTCCTTCGAAAAGGCAATGTATCCTATACATTTTGTACCCCTATAGCATTTGCAACACAGATGTTCAACCTGTGTTTGGTGAAAAAAAAAAAAGAATTGAATGAAGAGATAATCATTAACGTCAGTTTTAGTAAGACATAATGAGGTTTAGGAAGGTCATGGATACTTGTCTATAGTAAAATTTGAACCAGGTTCAAAGGGAATCTTCTTATATAAATTGATGAGGAAGTAGAAGGTGTTTAAGTGAGAAGCAACAGCATGTGTTAAGCACATTGGTGAGAGAAACTTAACTGTCAAGTACAGCTAATAATGGTCTGGCTAATAATGGTCTGGCAATACAAATATGGTTTGAGTTGGTGATTATTTTTAATTTTCAATTTAAAAAATAATTGATACATACAAAATAATGTGACACATAAACAAGTTATAAAGCATGAGAATAAAAACACCCCTGCACCTACCAACAGTTTAATAACTAAACAGAACCAACACAGAAGCCTTCTGTCTTCCTCCCACAGTGCCCTCTTGCTCACTGCCCAGAGGTCCCACTACCCTGACTTTTGTGTTCACCGTTTGCTTGCATTGATTTCTAATTTATCCACAAATCTAGTATCCTTAAATACTTTATAGTTTTTTTAAATTTTAGATAAATCTTAACATATTTGATCTTGGGCAAATGTCTTTTTTACTGAAAAATTATATTTGTCAATTTAATCTATACTCTATATAGTCCACTATTTTCACTGCTGTATTATAACACCATTGGATTAACATAGCATGAATTTTTGTCCATTTTGCTGTTGAAAGATGTGTGTTATTTCCAATCGTGTATTATTGCAAAAATGCTTCTATTAACATCATTTTCTAGGTTACGCAGTAGAAATGTATACAAGAGTAAAAATGCTGGGTCAAAGACACGGTTTCTCCAACTTTACTAGATATTGCCAAAATTTTCCAAAGGGATTGTATGATATTGCCACCCCTTTGTATAAGAGTTCTGACCGCTCTACATCTTCACCATCATTTAGTAATATAAACTTTATATTTTTTGCCACCTGTGAGTATAAAATCACTGTGGTCTTAACTTGCCTTTCCTCCACTAATAGTTTGAGTTATAGCATTATAATTAGTTCTCATATCTGAGGGAGCAATTTATTCCCACACTGTTCTCCTTGTTTATCTTCAGAAATGTGTTGTCTATTTTTGGCCCTTGGTTACTCTACATAAGTTTTAGAATCAGTTTGCCAAGCTTCACAAAAAGTTCTGCTGGAATTTCCATTGGAAGTGTATTTAATTTGTAGCTGAGGAGTGATTCAGAAATGCAGGTTTCTTCCATCTTAGGGCTGTGTCAACTTCCAATTGGCTATGTTCATTAACAAGCCAGAAAGAGTGCATAAAGATCAGCTGCAAACAATTTTTACAGTTCAGGTCTGATAGTGGTAAACATCACTTTTGCTCACATTTCACTATCTAGAACTATGCCACAAGGTCACAACTAACCAGAAAGAAGTCTGAGATATACTGTCTAGCTCTGTAACCAGAAGAGATAAAAAGCCATATTACCTATTAATTTAGGTCTTTTAAACATCTTTCCATAAATTTTTACGTTTCTCAATAAAGCTTTTATACACTTTTGTTAGAGTTAGCTCTAGATACATATTTCCGTGCTTTTTGTAAATGGCATTTTTATGCCTATGTATCAACTATGTTTCTGGTATTTAAAAATACACTAAGTTATTGTATTATTAATCTTACATCCACAACTATACTAAACTCTCTATTTGAATCTTTTTTTTAACTTTTATTTTAGGTCCATGTATACATGTGCAGGTTTGTTATATAAGTAAATTGTGAGTCACAGGGGTTTGGTGTACAGATTATCTCATCATCCAGGTAATAAGCATAGTACCTGATAGGTAGTTTTTTGATCCTCTCCCTCCTGCTATCCTCCACCCTCAAGTAGGTCCTGGTGCCTATTATTCCCTTCTTTGTGTCCATATATACTCAATATTTAGCTCCCACTTATAAGTGAGAACATGCAGTATTTGGTTTTCTGTTCCTGTGTTAGTTCTCTTAGAATAATGCCCTCCAGCTCCAACCATGTTGCTGCGAAGTACATGATTTCATTACTTTTTATGTTTGTGTAGTATTCCATGTTATATATGTACAACATTTTCTTTACTGTTGTTGGGGATTTAGGTTGATTCCATGTTTTTGCTCTTGGGAATAGTGCTGTAATGAACATATGTGTGCATGTGTCTTTATGGTAGAATGATTTATATACCTTTGGGTATATACCCAATAATGAGACTGTTGGGTTGCATGGTAATTTTAAGTTCTTTAAGAAATTGCCACACTGCTTTCCACAATAGCTGAACTAATTTACAATCCCCTCAGCAGTGTAAGTGTTCTCTTTTCTCTGCAACCCTGCCAGTATGTTATTTTTTGATTTTGTAATGTTAGCCATTATGACTGGTGTGAGATAGTATCTCACTGTGGTTTTTATTTGCACTTCTCCCATGATTAGTGATGTTGAGCATTTTTTTCATATGCTTGTTGGCCACATGTATGTCTTCTTTGAGACGTGTCTGTTCATGTCCCTTGCCAATTTTTAAATGGGATTGCTTTTCTTCTTGTCAATTTGTTTAAGTTTCTTATAGATCCTGGATGTTAGACTTGTGTCAGATGCCTAGTTTGCAAAAATTTTCTCCCATCTGTAGGTTATCTATTTACCCTGTTGTTACTTTTTTTTTTTTTTTTTTTTTTTTTGAGACAGGGTCTCACTCAGTCACCCAGGCTGGAGTGCAGTGGCATGATCTTGGCTCACTGCAGCCTCAACCTCCTGGGCTAAAGCAATCCTCCCATCTCAGCCTCCCAAGTAGGCAAAACTACAAGCGTGAACAACCACACCCAGCTAATTTTTATATTTTTTGTAGAGACGGGGTTTCACCATGTTGCCCAGGCTGATCTTGAACTCCTGAACTCAAGCAATCCTCCCTCCTCGGGTGTCCCAAAGCGCTGGGATTACGGGCACTGTGCCTGGCCTCTTGTTACATTTGGGATTTCCATAGATTTAATCATATCACCTGGAAGGTTTTATTGTTCACTTTTCAATCCATCTTTTAATTTTATTCATAGTTTTCTGCATTGGGACCTCCTGTAAAATACCAAATAGAAGTACTTATACCACTGACTTTTGAGAGTTAGTGGTATACTTCCAATGTCTCATAATTATGTACAGTGTTTGCCCTAAATTTTCTAAGGTATCATTCATTAGGTTAATAAAATTTTTTTCTTATTAATACACTAAGATAAAATATCTTAGCAAACTAAGCACTGAATGTAGAAATACGTTAAAATTCTCTCAGCGTCTATTAAGGTAGTTATATAATGTTTTTCTCATTTAATCTGGTAAAGTGGCGATTTAGTAAAATTTTTAAGACTTCACTTTTTTAGAGCAATCAGTGAAACTGAAAGGAATGACACAGAGATTTCCTATATAATTCCTGCTCCCATATATAAATAGCTTTCCCCATTATCAACATCCCTCGCCAGAGAGAAGCACTTGTTACAATCAAGGAACCTATATTGATACATCATGAACACCCAAAGTCCACCTGTTACATAAAGATTCACTCTTAGTGATGCATATTTTATGGATTTGGACACATGTATATGGACAGGTATCCACCGCTGCAGTATCATACAGAGTATTTTCACTGCCCTAAAAATCCTCTGTGTCCTGCCTATTCATTTCTACTCCCCTGCCCCAAACCCCACCAACCACTAATCTTTTTGCTGTCTCCAATAGTTTTGCCTTTTACAAAATGTCATTTAGTTGGAATAATGAAGTATGTAAGCTTTGTGGATTGGCTTTTTTCACTTAATAATATGCATTTTGTTTTTTCGCATCTTTTCGCGGCTTGATAACTCATTTCTTTTTAGCACTGAAAAATACTCCATTGTCTGGATTTAGCACTGTTTACCCATTCACCTACTGACGGATACTGTGGCTGCTTCCAAGTTTTGGCAGTTATGACTAAAGCTGCTATAAACTTCTGTGTATAGTTTTTTGTGTAAACAGAAGTTTTCAACTGCTTTCCATGAATATCAAGAAACGTGATTGTTGGATCATATGGTAAAGGTATGAGTCGTTATGCAAGAAACTTCCAAACTGCCTGTCAAAGTGGCTGAACCATTTGCATTCCTATCAGCGTTTGGTGTTGCCATTGTTCTAGAATTTAGCCACTCTAATAGGTGTGTAGTGGTATCTCATTGCTTTGATTTGCAATTCCCGAAAGACTCATGATTTTGAACATCTTTCATATGCTTATTTGAGATCTGTATATCTTCTGTGGTGAGGTGTCTCTTCAGGTCTTTTGCCCATTATTTAATCAAGTTGTTTGTTTTCTTATGGTTTAAAGCATTTTATATATTTTTATAATAATCCTTTATCAAGTATGTTTTTTACAAATATTTTCTCCCAGTCAGTGGCTTGTCTTCTAATTCTCTTAACAGTCTTTCACAGAGCAGAAGTTTTCGTTTGGTTTGTTTGTTTGTTTGTTTGTTTTGAGACAGGGTCTCACTCTGTCACCCAGGCTGGAGTGCAGTGGCATGATCTCTGCTCAATGCAGCCGCAACCTCCTGGTCTCAGGCAATCCTCCCACCTCAGGCTCCCAAGTAGCTGGGACTGCAGGTGTGAGCCACCACGCCCAGCTAATTTTTTTGTGTTTTTTGTAGAGATGAGGTTTCACCATGTTGGTCAGGCTGCTCTCAAACTCCTGAGCTCAAGTGATCCACCTAACTTGGCTTCTCAAAGTGCTAGGATTACAGATATGTGCCACTGGGCCCAGTCAAGAAGCTTTTAATTTTAATGAAGTCCAGTTTATCAATTATTTCTCTCATGGATCTTGCCTTTGGTGTTGTATCTAAAAAGTCATTGCCATATTCATAGTCCTCTAGATTTCCTCCTATGTTATCTTCTAGGAGTTTTATTGTTTTGCATTATACATTTAGGTCTTTGATCCATTTTGAGTTAATTTTCATGAAGGGTACATGGTCTGTATCTAGATTTACTTTTTAGCGTCTGGATGTCGCATTGTTCCAGCAGTATTTGCTGAAAAGACTATCTTTGCTCCATGTATTGCTTTGCTTATTTGTCAAACATCAATTGACTATGTTTACATGGATCTATTTCTGGGCTCTATATTTTGTTCCATTGATCTATTTGTCTTTCCTTTTGTCAATTCCACACTGTCTTCAGTATGGTAGCTTTATAGTATGTCTTGACATTGGGAAGTGTCAGTCCTCCAACTTTGTTTTCCTTCAATGTTACATTGGCTATTCTGGGTCTCTTGCCTCCATATATAAATTTTAGAATGAGTTTCTCACTGTACACAAAATAACCTGCTGAGATTTTGATTGAAACTGAATTGAATTTTTTTTTTTTTTTAGGCGGAGTCTTGCTCTGTTGCCCAGGCTGGAGTGCAGTGGTGAGATCTCGGCTCACTGCAAGCTCCACCTCCCGGGTTCACACCATTCTCCTGCCTCAGCCTCCCGAGTAGCTGGGGCTACAGGCACCCGCCACCATGCCCGGCTAATTTTTTGTATTTTTAGTAGAGACGGCGTTTCACTGTGTTAGCCAGGATGGTCTTGATCTCCTGACCTTGTGATCCGCCCACCTCAGCCTCCCAAACAAATTGAATTGAATTTATAGATCAAGTTGGGAAGAACTGATATCTTACGGATACTGTTAAAGAGAACTAAATATGGCCTGAGAAGGACTCCATATTTCTATATTTGAGTCCTTGTGGATGAACTGCAACCTAACCTAGTAGGTAGACAAGATTGAAAACCTAACTTAGGAGTATGCACTTGTAACAACAGCTGAGTCTTAGTCAATCCCAGAAGCCATACTTCAACTACTCATACGCTGCTGAATGTTCAAACTGTGTTCAAATAAGGAAGACCTGTAACCAATCCAGCTGTTTCTACACCTTCCGATTTCTGTACGTCACTTCCCTTTTTTTGTCTGTACATTTGTTCTGACCATGAGGCACCCCGGGAGTCTCCCTGAATCTGCTGTGATTCTGGGGCTGCCCAATTCATGAATCACTCATTGATCAGTTAAATTCCTTTACATTTAATTCAGCTGAAGTTTTTCTTTGAACAATACTGAGTCTTTCAATCGATGAACATGGAATACTCTCCATTTTAGTTTTTTTTCATTTCTTTCATCAAAATTTTGTAGTTTTCCTCATAGATCTTACATATATTTTGTTATATTTAAACCTATTTCATTTTTGTGAGTACTAATGCAAATGGTATAGTGTTTTTAACTTCAAATTCTACTTGTTCATTGCTAGTATATAGGAAAGTGATTGATTTTTGCATGTTAGCCTTGTATCCTGCAACCTTGCTGTAAGTGCTTTTTAGTTCCATGAAATTTGTTGTTGTTGTTGATTCTTTAAGATTTTCTACATAGATAATCATATCATTTGTGAGCAAAGACTTTTATTTCTTTCTTCCAAATCCATATGCCCTGTATTTCCTTGTCTTGCTGCATTAACTAGGACTTCCAGTGTGATATTGAAAAGGAGTGGTAAGAGAAGACATCTTTGCCTTATTCCTGATCTTAGTGGAAAAGTTTCTGGTTTCTCACCATTAAGTATGATGTGAGCTGTAGGCTTTTTGTAGATATTCTTTATCATGTCGAGAAAGTTCTCCTCTGTTCCTAGTTTACTGAGAGTTTTTATCATGGATGAGTATTTGACTTTGTCAAATGGCTTTTCTGCATTTATTGATATGATAATATAATGCTTTTTTTTCAGCCTGCTGGTGTAATGGATTATATTCATTGATTTTCAAATATTGAACCAGTCTTGAATACCTGGAATAAATTTTACTTGGTTGTGGTATATAATCCTTTGTATACATTGTTGGATTCTGTTTGCCAATATTTTGCTGGGAGCTTCTGCATCTATATTCATGGGAGATATTGGTCTGTAGTTTTTTATTTTTTTTCCTGGAATGTCTATGTCTGCTTTTGGTATTAGAGTAATAATGGCCTCATAAAATCAGTTATGGAGTATTCCTTCTGCTTTATCTTCTGAAAGACATGGTAGAGAATCAGTATAATTTCTTATGTAAATGTTGACTGGAATTCACCAATAAACCCATCTAAGCCTGGTTCTTTGTGCTCTAGAAGGTTATTAATTATTGATTTAACTTCTTTAATAGATATAGGCCTATTCAGATTGCCTATTCCTCTTGTGTGACTTTTGACAGATTGTGTCTTTCAAGGAATTAGTCCATTTCATCTAGATTATCAAATTTGTAGACACAGAGCTCTTCACAGTTCACAGTATTCTTTTATTATTAACTTAATATCCATGGAATATGTAGAATCCATATCCATGAAATATATGGAATTCATGTGCCCTCTTTCATTTCTGATATTAGTAATTTATATCTTCACTCTTTCACTCTTTTTTTTTCTTAGTTAATCTGGATAGAGACATTGATTTTATTGATCTTTTCAAATAACTTTTGGTTTCATTCATTCTTATATGCTAAGCAACATGCTAAGTTCAACAGTAAACACCCTAGCATAGTTTGCCATTATAGGGCTATCAGTATAGACAGGCAGATAGATGACAGGCAATAATATCAACGTTTAATATGTCTTGTATTATATTTTCTTATACTCAATATAAGTAAGATTAAGTTGCTCTGTTAACACATCCTGTGCAAAAGCATGTGGGCAGGCTCTGAATTTTAGCTGAGGTGCATTACTCACATGAGTTAATACATTCATATAGGACATTTATTGATGAGCAGCAGCTGAGATTTATTGGATTATTATTTGTTAGAGTAAAACCAAGTTTTCTCCTGAAGAATTGCAAAAAAGGCTAGCTATTATATAAATGCTGCATAGGTTGAGAACAAAGTGGGCTTTCTTTTAAATTCTTTAAGTATTGTCATAATCTTAATATTGTTATTGATTCATTCACTACAACCAGAAGAAAGGTTCTTAACCTTCATCAGCTCTTCTTGGCCTGAAAAGTGCAGTAAGATATAGGAAACTCTGGGATGGGCAGGAAAGATATAATGATGTGAGAGTTTCCATGATCCTTTAGTTCTTTAATCTCCACTCAGTGTGATTTCTGATAAAAACAGCTCGAACCCAGGTGAGATTCATTTTGGAAAAAATCAGGCTGACAATCTCAATCATGACTAAGGAATAAGAGTAGAATGAGGTCTTAATCCCTCACCACAAACTCATCATCTATAATTATTAAGAAAGGACACACCATTACAGACTCCAAAGACACACTTCCAAACCCAGACTTTTCTCCTCTTATTTAGGCCTTTTTTTTCCTGGGCTTTCCCTGGTTTTCCTCTGCTGAAAAAACAAACAGACCAGCAAACTTTCCCTTACTTGCCTCCCTTAGGTATCTGACCCCTCATAGATATTGCCAAGAATTGATGAAGGAGGATGAAAATGCCACTTATAGGAATTTGCAGAATGAGACCAAAGTCATTCTTATAAGACATTGTGTCCAAAACTGGACTGCCCACAGTGTCCATCACCCAGATGGAAGTCCTGTTGTACTGCCACAGGGCGCACCCCACCCTAGGCCACCCTTTCCAGACTCCATCCCACTGCAGTCCGCTCAGAAGCCTCAGCTAAAACAGCTCTGGCTGGGCTGCCAGCCCAATCAGTTCCCATTTTTGCTACTTGATGAAACTTGCTTAATGTCCCAGTATATGATCAAATTTTGTTAATGTGTATTCTCCACCTATTGGGAACAATATTCTACAAGCCCATTAGATGAAGTGTATTATTTGTGTTTTATACATCTTCTAAAGCTTTAGTGATTTTGGATCTAAATGTTCTACCAGTTCCTGAGGAACATATATTAAAATTTCTGCAATTGCTCATATGTCCTTATCTGCCAAATTCCTATTATTTTTATTTTTGAAGAATTTTATTAGGTAAATAGAATATTAGGATTTTCATATCACTTTGGTGAAATTGGCCTTTCATGATCATGTGGTAACCCCATTTATCTCTAGGAATTCCACCCTTTTAATTCTAACCTTTGTGCATCCTCATATTTTAAGCATATCTCCTGTAAACATCACATAGGTGATTTTTGTTTGTTTGTTTGTTTGTTTTGAGACAGAGTCTTGCTCTGTTGCCCAGGCTGGAGTGCAGTGGCACGATCTCGGCTCACTGTAAGCTCTGCCTCCCAGGTTCACGCCATTCTCCTGCCTCAGCCTCCCAAGGAGCTGGGACTACAGGTGCCTGCCACCATGCCTGGCTAATTTTTTGTATTTTTAGTAGAGATGGGGTTTCACCATGTTAGACAGGATGGTCTCGATCTCCTGACCTCATGATCCGCTCGCCTCAGCCTCCCAAACTGCTGGGATTACAGGCTTGAGCCATTGCACCTGGCCAATTTTTATTTTTTAAATGTATTTGACAATAGTTTTTTGCCTGAAGAGTTAAGTCCATTTACATATACTGGATCTCTTTTCTGTTTCCTTAATTTATGCTTTCTCTTTGATTATTTTTGGATTTTCTGTTTCCTTTGCGGCCTTCTTTTAAAATAACATTTTCTCAAAAAAAGAATTTGATCCTTCTATTTTAATTCCCATTATACCCACTCTCAGTTTGCATGCTACTGTTGTTCAGTTATTTCACCTTTTTTACATTTTAATATTATCTATTGGAATAATTATTACTTTATGCCATAATTTTTTAACATGGTAACATGTTTACCATTTCTTTGTGGTCACCACTCCTTGTGGCATATCAGATCCTTCATCAGGGATCATTTTTCTTCTCTCTTAAGCATATCCTTTGTATGTAGAAGTAAACACCCTTTATCTTTGTCTGAAAATGTCTTTCTTTCACCCTTTCTGAAAGACAGTTTCCCTGGACATGGAGTTTTTCATTTACTTTTTTTCAGAACTTTAAATTCTACTGCATTCTAGCTTCTATTGTTGCTGTTGAGGTGTCAGCTGAAAGCTTAATTTTTATTCCTTTATATATAAACTATCTTTTCTCCTTGGGATAACTCTTAAGACTTTATGTTTGTTTTTGTTTTGTACTTTCACTACTACAATAGCAAACATCTGTGATATCCTTTTGCTATTCTGAAGCGTCTCATCCCACAATGAATTAGAGCAGGCCCTGTGTAGCCAACAGAATACACTGCAAGTGCTAGTGTGTGACTTTCAAGAGCAGGTCTTCCAAAAGCTTTGTAGCTTTTTCATTGTCTTTTGGATGACCCACCCAGAGGGAAGCCAGCTGCCATGAGTTATTCAATCAGTCCCAGGAAGAGGCCCACCTGGAGAAGAATTAAGGCACCCAACTAACAGCCAGCATCAGCTTGCAGCACATGAGGGAGTCACCTTGGATTCGGTTCCTCTAGTCTAATGGGTCTCTGAGCCTCCAGGTGACTGCAGCCCCCGACACCATCTGACTGTAACTTCCCGAGAGACCTCAAGCAAAATCACTTCCAAATTCCTGACCCACAGAAACCTGAGATCATAAATGATTATTGTTGTTTTAAGCCATTATATTTTGGAGTGGTTTGTTATGTAAAATGGGAACTTTGTTTATCCCAGTTTAGAATTGTGGGGGTCCCTTTACCTGATGATTGGTGTCATTTTTAATTTCTGGAAATTTTTTAGTTTCTATTTCTTAAATATTGCTTTTCCCACATTCTCTATATGATTTTTGTCTACGACTCCACTCTATTCTCCAACTCTTTTCATTTCTCTTTCTTATGTTCCATGTTTTTATGTCTCTATTCTATGTAAATTACTTAAATGTATCTTTCAGTTCACAGATTTTTTTCTTTGTTGGGTCAATCATATGCTATTTAACCTTTATGCTACAATTTTTTAAATTGATTTATAAGAAATAAAATCCATATATTTTTGGTGTACAGTTCATTGAATTTTAGTGCATATTATACTGATGTAGCTGCAACCACTATACTGTCAAGATAGAGGCATTCCCGTTATTTCAAAAAATTCCCTCAAGCTCCTTTCCAGTCAAATGTTTTTCTCAGAGACGACCATTGTATTTATGTCTGCCACCTGTTCCAGAACTTTGATACAAGGAATCATGCAGAAGATACTCTTCTGTGTGTGGCTTCCTTTGATTGTCAGTTTAAAAAATGCATTCATGTTGTTCCTTTTTATTGGTGAGCAGCATTCCATTGCTGAGTAGACTACTATATGTTTATACATTCAGTTGATGATGGGTATTTTGGCTGTTTCGAATTTGGGGGCTATTAGGAATAAAGTTGTTATAAAATTTGTGGCCAAGATATTTGAAGACATGATTTCAGTTTACCTGGGTAAATACCAAAAAAGTGGAATTTCTTGTCACGGAATAGGTATACGTTTGACTCAATGAAAAACTGACTAGCTATTCTTTGAAATGGTTTACAAATTTCTTTTTCTACTAGAAATGTAGGGGAACAGCCTCACTAAAACTTGGTATTATAAATCTTTTTAAGTAGGTATGAAATGGTAAATCTGTGGTTTTAATCTGCATTTCCTTGATGCCTACTGACGTGACTTACTGACGATTTCTATATTTTCTTTTGTGAAGTGTTTTTTTTAATAGATACACTTTAAGTTCTGGGATACATGTGCAGAATGTGCAAGTTTGTTACATAGGTATACACGTGCCATGGTAGTTTGCTGCACCCATCAACCTGTCATCTACATTAGGTATTTCTCCTAATGCTATCCCTCTCCCAGACCCCCCAGCCGCCAACAGGCCCCGGTGTGTGATGTTCCCCTCCCTGGGTCCATGTGCTCTCATCGTTCTACTCCCACTTAGAGGGAGAACATGCAGTGTTTGGTTTTCTGTTCCTGTGTTAATTTGCTGAGAATGACGGTTTCCAGCTTCATCCATGTCCCTGCAAAAGACATGAACTCATCCATTTTTATGGCTGCATAGTATTCCATGGTGTATATGTGCCACATTTTCTTTATCTAGTCTATCACTGATGGGCATTTGAATTGGTTCCAACCCTTGCTATTGTGAATACTGCTGCAATAAACATACATGTGCATGTGTCTTTATAGTAGAACGATTTATAATACTTTGGGTATATACCCAGTAATGGGATTGCTGGGTCAAATAGTATTTCTGGTTCTAGATCCTTGAGGAATCGCCATACTGTCTTCCACAATGGTTGAACTAATTTACACTCCCATCAACAGTGTAAAAGCATCCCTATTTCTCCATATTCTCTCCATCATCTGTTATTTCCAGACTTCTTAATGATTGCCCTTCTAACTGGCGTGAGCTGGTATCTCATTGTGGTTTTGATTTGCATTTCCCTAATGACCAGTGATGATGAGCTTTCTTTCATATGTTTTTTGCACACATAAATGTCTTCTTTTGAGAAGCGTCTGTTCCTCTCCTTTGCCCACTTTTTGATGGTTTTTTTTTCTTGTAAATTTTTTTAAGTTTCTTGTAGATTCTGGATATTAGCCCTTTGTCAGATGGGTAGATTGCAAAAATTTTCTCCCATTCTGTAGGTTGCCTGTTCACTCTGATGACAGTTTGTTTTGCTGTGCAGAAGCTCCTTAGTTAAATTAGATCCCATTTGTCAATTTTGGCTTTGGTTGCCATTGCTTTTGGTGTTTTAGTCACAAAGTCTTTGCCCATGCCTATGCCCTGAATGGTACCGCCTAGGTTTCCTTCTAGGGTTTTTATGGTTTTAGGCCTTACATTTAAGTCTTTATCTTGAGTTAATTTTTGTATAAGATGTAAGGAAGGGGTCCAGTTTCAGTTTTCTGCATATGACTAGCCAGTTTTTCCCGACACCATTTATTGATTAGGGAATCCTTTCCCCATTGCTTGTTTTTGTCAGGTTTGTCAAAGATCAGATGGTTGTAGACGTGTGGCATTATTTCTGAGGCCTCTGTTCATTTCCATTGGTCTATATATCTGTTTTGGGACCAGTACCATGCTGTTTTGGTTACTGCAGTCTTGCAGAATAGTTTGAAGTCAGGTAGCATGATGCCTCCAGCTTTGTTCTTTTTGATTAGAAATGTCTTGGCTATACAGGCTCTTTTTTGGTTCCATATGAACTTTAAAGTAATTTTTTCTAATTCTGTGAAGAAAGTCAGTGGTAGCTTGATGGGGATAGCATTGAATCTATAAATGATTCTTCCTATCCATGAGCATGGAATGTTTTTCTATTCGTTTGTGTCCTCTCTTATTTCCTTGAGCAGTGGTTTGTAGTCCTCCTTGAAGAGGTCCTTCACATCCCTTGTAAGTTGTATTCCTAGGTTTTTTATTCTCTTTGTAGCAATTGTGAAAAGGAGTTCACTCATGATTCAGCTCTCTGTGTATTACTGGTGTATAAGAATGCTTCTAATTTTGACACATAGATTTTGTATCCTGAGACTTTGCTGAAGTTGCTTATCAGCTTTAGGAGATTTTGGGCTGAGATGATGGGGTTTTCTAAATATACAATCATGTCATCTGCAAACAGAGACAATTTGACTTCCTTTCTTCCTATTTGAATATGCTTTATTTCTTTCTCTTGGCTGATTGCCCTGGCCAGAACTTCCAATACTATGTTGAATAGGAGTGGTGACAGAAGGCATCCTTGTCTTCTGCTGGTTTTCAAAGGGAATGCTTCCAGCTTTTGTCCATTCAGTATGATATAGGCTGTGGGTTTGTCATAAATAGCTGTTATTATTTTGAGATACGTTCCATTAATGCCTAGTTTATTGAGAGTTTTTAGCATAAAGGGGTGTTGAATTTTATCAAAGGCCTTTTCTGCATCTATTGAGATAATCATGTGGTTTTTGTCATTCATTCTCTTTATCTAATGAATTACATTTATTTATTTGCATATGTTGAGCCAGCCTTGCATCCCAGGGATGAAGCTGACTTGATCGTGGTGGATAAACTTTTTTATGTGCTGCTGGATTCGGTTTGCCAGTACCTTATTGAAGATTTTCACATCGATGTTCATCAGGGATATTAGCCTGAAATTTTCTGTTTTTGTTGTGTCTCTGCTAGACTTTGGTATCAGGATGATGCTGGCCTCATAAAATGAGTTAGGGAGGAGTTCCTCTTTTTCTATTGTTTGGAATAGTTTCAGAAGGAGTGGTACCAGCTCCTCTTTGTACCTCTGTTAGAATTCGGCTGTGAATCCATCTGGTCTTGGGCTTTTTTTTGTTGGTAGGCTATTAATTACTGCCTCAATTTCAGAACTTGTTATTCATCTATTCAGGGATTCGACTTCTTCCCGGTTTAGCCTTGGGAGGGTGTATGTGTCCAATAATTTATCCACTGCTAGATTTTCTAGTTTATTTGCGTAGAAGTGTTTATAGCATTCTCTGATGGTAGTTTGTATTTCTGTGGGATCAGGGGTGATATCCCCTTTATCATTTTTTACTGTGTCTATTGGATTCTTCTCTCTTTTCTTCTTTATTAGTCTGGCTAGTGGTCTATTTTGTAAATCTTTTCAAGAAACCAGCTCCTAGATTCATTGATTTTTTGAAGGGTTTTTCATGTCTCTATCTTCTTCAGTTCTGTTCTGATCTTAGTTATTTCTTGTTTTCTACTAGCTTTTGAATTTGTTTGCTCTTGCTTCTCTAGTTCTTTTAATTGTGATGTTAGGGTGTTGATTTTAGATCTTTCCCACTTTCTCCTGTGGGCATTTAGTGCTATAAATTTCCCTCTTTAGCTGTGTCCCAGAAATTCTGGTATGTTGTGTCTTTGTTCTCATTGGTTTCAAACAGCTTATTTATTTCTGCCTTAATTTTGTTATTTACCCAGTAGTCATTCAGGAGCAGGTTGTTCAGTTGCCATGTAGTTGTGCAGTTTTGAGTGAGTTTCTTAATCCTGAGTTCTAATTTGATTGCCCTGTTGTCTGAGAGACTTAGGATTTCCGTTCTTTTGCATTTGCTGAGGAGTGTTTTATTTCCAATTATGTGGTCGATTTTAGAATAAGTGTGATGTGGTGCTGAGAAGAATAAATATTCTGTTGACTTGCAGTGGAGAGTTCTGTAGACAGCTACTAGGTCTGCTTGGTCCAGAGCTGACAGCAATTCCTGAATATTAAATATTCCAGGAATATTTAAAATTCCTGTTAATTTTCTGTCCATTGATCTGTCTAATGTTGACAGTGGAGTGTTAATGTCTCCCACTATTATTGTGTAGGAATCTAAGTCTCTTTGTAGGTCTGTAAGAACTTGCTTTATGAATCTGGGTTCTCCTGTATTGGGTGCATACATATTCAGGATAGTTAGCTCTTCTGGTTGCATTGATCCCTTTACCACTATGTAATGCCCTTCTTTGTCTTTTTTTATCTTTGTTGGTTTAAAGTTTGTTTTATCAGAGACTAGGATTGCAACCCCTGAATTCTTTTGCTTTCCATTTGCTTGGTAAATATTCCTCCATCCCTGCATTTTGAGCCTATGTGTGTCTTTGCACATGAGACGGTTCTCCTGAAAACAGCACACCGATGCATCTTGACTCTATCCAATTTGCCACTCTGTGTCTTTTAATTGGGGCATTTAGCTTGTTTACACTTAAGGTTAATATTATTATGTGTGAATTTGATCCTGTCATTATGATGATAGCTGCTTATTTTGCCCATTAGTTGATGCGGTTTCTTCATAGTGTCGATGTTCTTTACAATTTGCAATGTTTTTGCAGTGGCTGGTACCAGTTTTTCCTTCCCATATTTAGTGCTTCCTTCAGAAGTTCTTGTAAGGCAGTCCTCGTAGTGACAAAATCTTTCGGCATTTGCTTCTCTGTAAAGGATTTTATTTTTCCTCGTTTTGGGAATTTTCAGCCTTTTTGTGCTGTTTTTTCCTCACTTACATGGATTTATCTACCTTTGGTATTAGATGTTGGTGACCTTCAGATGGGGTTTTTGGGTGGAAGTCCTTTTTGTTGATGTTGATGCTATTCCTTTCTGTTTGTTAGTTTTCCTTCTAACAGTCAGGCCCCTCTGTTGCAGGTCTGCTGGAGGTTCACTCCAGACCCCGTATGCCTTTGTATTACCAGGTGAGGCTGCAGAACAGCAAAGATTGCTGCCTTTTCCTTCCTCTGGAAGCTTCATCCCAGAGGGGCACCTGCCAGATGCCAGCTGGAGCTCTCCTGTATGAGATATCTGTTGATACCTGCTGGGAGGTGTCTCCCCGGCAGGAGGAACAAGGGTCAGGGACCCACTTGAGGAGGCAGTCTGTCCCTTAGCAGAGCTCGAGCTCTGTTCTGGGAGATCCCCTCCTCTCTTCAGAGCTGGCAGGCAGGAATGTTTAAGCCTGCTGAAGCTGCACCCACAGCCACGCCTTCCCCCAGGTGCTCTCTCCCAGGGATAGAGTAGTTTTATCTATGAGCCCCTGAGTGGGACTGCTGCCTTTCTTTCACAGATGCCCTGTCCAAAATGGAGGAATCTAGAGAGGCAGTCTGGCTACGGTGGTTTTGCTGAGCTGCAGCAGCCTCCACCAACTTCCCCGCGGCTTTGTTTACACTGTAAGGGTAAAACTGCCTACTCAAGCCTCGGTAATAGTTGATGCCCCTCCCCCCACCAAGCTCGAGCATCCCAGGTCGACTTCAGACTGCTGTGCTGGCAGGGAGAATTTCAAACCAGTGAATCTTAGCTTGCTTGTCCCCATGGGGGTGGGATCCACTGAGCTAGACCACTTGGCTCCCTGGCTTCAGCCCCCTTTCCAGGGGAATGAATGGTTCTGTCTCACTTGCATTCCAAGTGCCACTGGGGTATGAGAAAAAAACTTCTGCAGCTAGCTCAGTGTCTGCCCAAACGGCCACCCAGTTTTGTGTTTGAAACCCAGGGCCCTGATGATGTAGGCACCCGAGGGAATCTCCTGGTCTGTGGGTTGCAAGGACCATGGGAAAAGCTTAGTATCTGGGGCCGGAATTCACCATTCCTCACAGCACAGTCCCTCATGGCTTCCCTTGGCTAGGGGAGGGAGTTCCCCAACCCCTTGTGGTTCCCAGGTGAGGTGACATTCCACCCTGCTTCAGCTCACCCACTGTCTAACCAGTCCTAATGAGATAAGCTGGGTATCTCAGTTAGAAATGCAGAAATCACCTGCCTTCTGCATTGATCTCGCTGTGAGCTGCAGACCAGAGCTGTTCCTATTTGGCCATCTTGCCAGCCACCATGAAGTGGTTTTTTAAGATGCTGACCATTTTAAAAAATTGATTTGTCTTTTTATTAGTGATTTGTAGGAGTTCTTTACATATTCTAGATACAAGCCTTTTGTAATGTAAATATATATTGCAAATATTTGTATTCTAAGAAATATTGGCCCACCTCAAATTGTGAAAATATTACCCTATGTTTACGTCTAGGTGATTTACAGGTCTAGGATTCATCTAGAATTAATTTTTGTATATGGTTTGTGGTGGGATTTAGGTTAATTTTTTTCCACATATGGATATCCAGTTGTTTCAGCAATGTTTTTTGAAAAGATTCTTTTGCTGACTGTACATGTTTATTTCTGGACTTTATTCTATTAGACTGAGTTATTTGTCTTTTCCTATACCCATATCATACTGCCTTGATTACTGTAGCTTTATTGTCTTGATATTGATAGTACACATTCTTTAATTTTGTTCTTTTTCAAAGTGTTTATCGACCCTTCTAATCATTTTGCATTTCTATGTAAATTTTAGAATAAACATCTCCATTTCTAAAAAAATGGCTGCTCAAATTTTTAATGCAGTAATATTGAATCTTAGAGAGTAGCTTATCAAATATTGAATTATCTAATCCATGAATATAGTATATCTTGCCATTTAGGTTTTTTTTCAGTGATATTTTGTGGGTTTTAATGTAAAGGTCTCATACTTTTTACATATGAAATTTACTCAAAATTATTTTATAATTGTTAGTGTTATGAAGATTATTTTGTTTCACTTATAAATTTTTATTGCTAGTATATAAATGCAGAATTTATATTTGTGTATTACTTTGTACCTATAATCATACTTACCTCTTGTTTCAAGTACCTCTTTGGTAGAGTCTTCAGACTTTTCTAAATAAAAATTCACATTGCAAATAAAAATAGGTAACTTCTTCCTTTATAATATTTAGGGGTTTCATTTATCTTTCTTAGTCTAATTTGCTAAGACCTCTATTACAATGTTAAATACAAGTGATAAGAGGAGATATTTTTGTCCTGTTCACAACCTGATAAAAAATGCTCACTACCTTACCATGAGGTACAATTTTAACTAGAGGTTTATTCCCCATTCCTTATACACTGAAGAATGTCCTGAAGTGAACAGCTGTATTACAGCTGTTTTAATGTGGATCTCACCCAGCACGGTTTTCTTTTTACAGAGCTTGAATATCTACTCTTTGTTTCTTTTCAATGCCTTCAATTATGATTAATCTTATCAAGAGGGTAGTCCAATGCAAGCTACTCCGCCATTAATGACAGCTTTCATTGCATATATAATTTCAATCATTATACTCTTAATTTCTTATTAGATGCTTTGTTAGTTTCCTTCCATATCTGTTAGATCTTTTTTGAGTTTCTGATCCTTGCTCATTTTTTAACCCTCTCTTAGTTTTAAAACATATTAGATGTATTTATTTTATAGTCTGTATCTGATTACTCCAATAAATGAGGCACTTATGTGTCTGCTTCTGCTCTTTTTGTTTCTGGAAATGAATGCCTATGGTAGCTTTTTTCCTCATACATTCATGTTTTTTAATGCTGGCTTATGTTCCCTAGAACTTTAGATCCAGTAGTTCTTTGTGTCCTGAGTTGAGAGTATATTCTTCCAGAAAGAATATACATTGATTCTTGGGAACTTGGGCATGCCACCAACATAGATTCATTTCATTTAAATTCTTGCTTAGATTTTTCCATCCTTGAAGACTGGGCACCCAACCTCCACTAAGACCAACCTGTGGCCAAGAATTCTTAGGGATAGGTTTCTATTCCTCTACCAAGAGCCAATAATGAGAAAAGCATGTTTCTTTGCATGTAATCTGTCATTACAAATTTGATATTTTTTTCTTGTTTCCTATTTCTCCAGCAGTTTAATGTATGTGATTCCTGGTTTCATGCAATGTTCTCTGATTCACCTACCCACACTACATAAGTCCAACGCTTGGTCTCCTGTTCCCAGAGGGCACAGCTACTAAAATCAAACCTCTAGACCACCTAGGATTGCTAGGTGCATGTAAGATGGCAGCTTCAATGTGTGATTTCCACCAGATACTGCTGCTCAAGTTTGATTTCAAACCCCAGAGGAATTCTCATGTTGTCTTATAAACTCAGCCATATATTTAATACTGCTTCTCATGTTTCATCCAGTAGACATTTTGTAGTAAGAGGATTTCAAGGTACATAGTTTAATTCATAGCTAGAAATTGAAATATTTAATATTCACTTTTTAATCACTGAAGGCTATAGTTCTTACTCTTTGTTTAGCTGATTGGCAAATGAATTAGCAGAATGGATAACAGCAGTTATTTATTGACCTCTATGCCTACACATGTGAAATATGTTTTTTTTAAAAAAAAGCATCTCTATGCCTATACATGTGAAATATATAGCTATTTTTTTTTAAAAATAGCTTTTTAAGAAAAATCAGTTATGAGAAAAAAGAGATGGAGCTACTGAATTGTCTGCATCCCTCATGTTGGTTCTACTTTTACAATATTCCAAAGAGTTTCTGTAAAGAGATGTAGGAGGCATAACCAATGAAGGAATTGTGAAGAACAGAAGTGATTGGGGTCCTGTGTTAGTACCTCACCAGTTCTCAAAGCTATCTTTCATGGATAAAATAAAGCTTGAATGATTAAAAGTGTTTCTTGGAAGTTAGCCAGATTTCACATGAAAGGGCTTTTATTTTACTCTTTTACCACAGAGAAAAATATCTTAGCATTTACACATAATAAATTTAATTCATGTGGCTGAATTATACAACTATAACATGTGGGTGATGAAACCTATCTAACCTATCTTACAGATTGTTAAATAGGTTAATTGTAAAAGGTTTAGCATAGTAGCTTTAAATATAGTAACTGCCCATTAAATGCGAGCTATTTTTATTTCCTTTTATAAAAATTCTGAAGTGAGAAACTTTTAATATCTTTGTAAATGTTAAGTTCAGAAATGGTTTAACGTCCTTGAAGTAAAAATGGACTCAGGTAAAAGCTTGGGTTCCCCATTCTAATGGGGTTCCTTCCCGAGGCCCAAGGCGCCTTGCTTTCTCCTCAGTTGTGACTGTCCAGTCTATTATAGCTTCTCACTGAAAGCAGTTTATGTGACTAATAGTAATTTTTTCTTTAGTGTAGCATGCAAAGGAGTCATATTAGGGACCAGCAGATTACAAAGATGGACAGCCAGGAAAGTCTGTGTCCTCAAGAAACCTGTACTCTAGGATTGTGATGTTAAACCCTGGGGCCCCAGTATCATCACCTCAAAATATTTCAAGAAAACTACTAAAGTCTCTATGTTTATCTTCTCTTTATATATACACAGTGGATATCTTGGGGTAGAAATCATATTATCTTCTTTTATTATTCCTTATAGCCACTCCCTATGTATAGCAAGAATCAATTTAAAAATAGTTAAAATTATTAAAAATTAAACAAAAATACTGATAAAATCCAATTTTAAAGGCATTCTATTATGTGAACCTTCAGTAGGAGTCACAAATATGGTTAAACATTAAATCCTTAGGTCAAAAATAATGTACTCATAACATTGCTCCCAGTATTGTCGGGAAATGTCAAAGGCCATACTGCCAAAGAGAGAATAACAGCTGCACTAAAATTAAAAAGAAAATTGCAACTAGAACACAACTTTTGCCAGGGGAAATATCTCATATGAGACTGTAAGTGAGAAAAGTTGTCTTACCAATTTAAGGTAACCCTCAGCATCTAGAATTAAGTTTTCTGGTTTCAAGTCTCTGTAGATAATACCTAGTCGATGCAGGTAATCAAATGCTTCTGTCACACAAGCAACGCAGAATTTGGAGGTGGGTTCATCAAAGCTGCCTCTGCAACGAAATCATTTTCCCTCTTAATACTTTGGATACACATCTTTGGTGCTGTTCTACGTGTCAAATCAATTATTGGATTGGCAGGTTTATGCAATATAAATATTTTGCAGGGTATCAACAATAAAATGTATTTTATACTACCCATGAATTAAGCTGTTTGCAGATCATAAAGCAATTCAGGGAGATATGTGATACAAACAAGAACTACTTCACTAAAATTAAAATATCAACAACTGTTTTTGGTAATCACACATGGACATGTAAAAGAGAAAAATCCAAAAACAAAGATTTTCTTTAGACACCCATCACAAACTCTGGAGAAAATGCTACTATAGTGGAGAGCTTGAACCAGACTTTTGCAACTTATTGCTTGACTTAAAAATGACTCAAGTGATTATTTTCATTTCCTGTTTGCATAGCACGTCAGAGTAACCCCCGTAAAAATGGAATCATAAGTCTTTTCTGTTTGGGGCCCCTTGATCTTTTATTAAAGTCCCCTCTGTCAGCACTGTGTGTAGTTTTACAGACTGGATTTTTTTTTTTTAATGCAGTGGTGATTTGCCACATGATCTCACAGAGAAACATGGCTTTGGAGTGACAGAAACTGGGTTTGACTCCTGTTTCTTTCACTCACTATATCCTTGAGAAAGTTGTTTAACTGTTCTGAGGCTCAGAATCCATATCAGTAAAAAAGGTTTGATACTCACTTAAAAGCATTTTCAGGATTAAGCACAGTGCCTAACAGGTAGCAGTAACTCCCTTTTCTAAAATGATTTAGATTTTCTCAACAAATTTGCCTATTGAAGCAAAGATAGAAGACGCTAATGCATTTGCAGGTATCACAAAAGTCTCCTCACCCTTCCAGGTTCTCCCCATTCAAATCTGTCCAATGAAATGTTCATGATACAACACATTCATCTTCTACTCAGATGCTCAATGTTCTTTCCTTGCCTAAGTCAGTGATTCTGAACCATAAATGCACATTAAAATTGCCTGAGAAGCATTTAAAAAATCGTTTACTGGACCCCATCCCAGATTAAATGAATCATAACCTCTGGCATTAGGGCCCAGCATTTTTACTTTGTAAAAGCTTTCCACGTGAATGCAATGTGTGGCCAACTTTGAAAAACACTGGCACAGGTCTGACTGTAAATATGTGGCCTTGCATCAACTCCCACAATCTAACGCCAACCCACGTTCTCATGTCTTCTGTTGCCCTTAACTTCTACCCAAATTCTTCTGTTCACCATCCACAGAGAGACATAATACTACCCCAACTTCCCTGCTTTGTCTTAAAGCAGTTTCCCTGCCTCTCTGCCTTTCCAAATTTGGGTCATGTTTAGAGTTTAATTCGAATCCTTCCTCTATCATCACATTCTCTCTCTCTCCCCTCCTCGGAGCTCACCATCTACGACACTATTTGGCATTTAACTACAAATTTCCAACTTCTTTGTCATCACTTAGTTTTCTCACTAAACAATGAAATGTTTTAAAACTGTATACCTAATCTCCCAAGGAAACTCTAAACTCATTAGAGGTAAAGTTTCTACTTTTTACTCTTTTGGTTAGAAAAGTACACACTGTCTAGAGCGTCTCCTCCTGACCCCCACCGTGCACTATGAAGCCTTTTACATAGGTGGTGCTTAGTAAATATCTATGATTTTAATTGTGCAAAAATCACCCCCTTGTGTAAAACTGAATCTTCGCAGGCATCTTGCTCTGCTTTTCAGTGAGGGCTTACCCACTCCCCACCCCCACCTTTGTTTATCACACTGCTTCTGCTAGGAGATTTGGAATCAGAAACACCTGGGTTTTTACCCTGACTCTGCTTTATACTAGTCATGTAACCTGGGATAGTTCACCTCCTCTCTAGTCTGGGATTCTTTACTTCCTAAAACAGAGATGACAACAACTACCTTACGTGGTGTTACGGCACTATTGTAGCATTAGCCAAGACAATATCACTATTACTACTTTATTTTATCAAGGGATATTTTGTTATAATAATTTCCTAATGATTTCCTCTATGCCTTTTTTAATGATTATAAATATAGCCCTTAGGCCAGATGTGAGTATACAAACTTTTTCATTACCTGTCCCTTAATATACTCCAGAGCTCCCCACCTAAGCAGGCCTCCAGAAGCATGTATACATACTTATTGTCCTTGAAAGTACGATATAATCTGTGAAGACAGATAAAAACATGGTTATTATTGGAAATCTAGTTTAAAAACCTTTTTAAAGTTGCTTAGAACTATCATCATAACATTAGGAACAATGATACTCATCTCCATATAAATACCCCACAACTACACTGGGCTTCTCGCCAAATCCTCTTTGATTTCCCCACTGCCTTGCTTCTGCTCCTGTGGATCTCACTTAGATTGGCCTTTCTCTAACCACAGACTGAACTTCTTAATCTCAGTTTTACCGTAAAAATGTTATCCATTCTTCAGGGCCAACCTCCAAGGCCATCTTTTTAACAAAACATCTCATTATCCCACCTACCAAATATGTCCTCTCCTTTTTCCAAAACCTTAGAGACCTCTGAATATGTCACCTTTAAGATTTGCCTTGCATAGTAGTTATTCATGTCAATGTCTTATATCCCCTAGTTGGTTAATTGATGTTGGATTCCCCTGGAAATAGACTCTGAGACTGAAATTTGCAAGCAATCAGATTAGTGGGGAGTGCAATTGGAAACAACACCTGTGGGGAAGGGAGGAAGTAGAATTGGGCTATGTTTTAGTTTCGACAAAAGCCTCAGCTTCAAGAGGCTCTGCAGTTGTTGGATGCATGTCCCCAAAGAGAGAGTATGATCTTGAGCAAGGTGGTTCTCTTCACCAAATAAAAACAAAAACCAATGCCCAGAGAGGGACTGAGCTAGTCCTCAGCTGACAACCACACTCCTTGAAGCTGGGGGAATGGGGGCCTCAGTTCCGAAGCGGGACGTAGGCAGGGCATCACATTTCAACCTTGTGTAAAAGCAGTTTTGGGGCCTTAATCATCAAGAGACCCCCTTTTCTCCCTAGCACCACATCCAGACCAAAGCAGACAGTAGAACAGCCGTATCATACACAGATAGAAGAAGCAATCAGGTAAAGTGGTTCAAAGGGTGGGCTCTGAACCAAGCTGCCAAGGCTTGAATCCAGATCAGACATTTATTAGCTATGCAACTTCTGTCTTCTCATTGTTTCTCAATGAACATATATATTCATTTTACTCTATACAGATTACATATTATTATGTATATTATTGATATATATTCATTGAAAAAAAAATATCCATTTTATTCTAATTGACCAGTGAGATAAATGTGTTGATTATCTATACATATAGATATAGCTTAGAACAGCACCTGGTGTATGTTAATTTCTCAATAAATGTTGTCATTAATATTTATTCTTCATATTATTGCCTGACTACATGCCAGGCACTTTGGAAAGAGTTGAAAATAAGACAATGAATGCAATCTAATCCATGCCCTGAAGCTGCTCATCATAGCTTGTTAACAAAATATTAATTTTAAAAGTGCATCCATTCTGGGAACGTAATATAAAGATAATTGGATGACTCTCTATTGCCAGCACTGCCTGGGTTCAAACTTCTTTGTTGATCTTGGGGAAAAAAGTGGGTCTGGAAAGATGGATAGGGAGAAAGAGTCTTTTAAAGCATTTGATCAAAAAGCATAAATTCTAGTCATTGCAGGGATATTTTACATTACCCAGAAATCACTAAAACTACACTCTGGGGCATTATAACATATATGAAAGCATAAGATGGCTTACACCCCTACCCATGAATTCACAAGGATAGAAAGCTGTGGTCTATAATAATTAATATTTCTTCTGCAAACTCTTGTGACAGCTACAGAAAGAATAACTATTAGAAGATGGATGTTTTGGTACCTAGCTACTACTAGGACCAGGGTACATTCCCCCTTGGCTTCCCACATGTGCCCAAATGCTGCCTTCTGCAGAAATTCAAGATCAGGATGCTCTCTGAGGAGTTTCACACAAATCCTTGCTTCCCTAGTCCCCAATTCTGCATTAAGTCTGAATAAAATAACCAGTTCAAACTATTCCTCAATAATTTTATATTCATATATACATATACACACATACTCAAACACACATATATATATACGCACACACATTTTTGTGATGTTTACTCAAGAATAAAAACAGGCTGGGCGCAGTGGCTCACGCCTGTAATCCCAGCACTTTGGGAGGCCGAGGTTGGCAGATCACGAGGTCAGGAGATCGAGACCGTCCTGGCTAACACGGTGAAACCCCGTCTCTACTAAAAATAGAAAAAAAAAAAAAATTAGCCAGGCATGGTGGTGGGTGCCTGTAGTTCCAGCTACTCTGGAGGCTGAGGCAGGAGAATGGCGTGAACCCCAGAGGCGGAGCTTGCAGTGAGCAAAGATCACGCCACTGCACTGAAGCCTGGGTGACACAGCTAGATTCCGTCTCAAAAGACAAAAAAAAAAAAAAAAAAAGAATCAAAACAACTGGAAAACATCTGACCCCAGATCTCAAACTTCTAACATTTTTAGTACTGTTGCTGTGACTGGGTTGGAGAATCCAGAGTGGGGCCTCCTCCACCTCTTCTTTCTGTCATCTTGCATGGAAAGTTTAAAACAAGAGCCGAGTACTACTCAACCATACAAAAAAAATGAGATTCTGTCATTTGTAACAACATGGATGGAACTGGAGGTCGTTATGTTATGTGAAATAAGCCAGACAGAGAAAGACAAACATCACACGTTCTCACTTATTTGTGGGATCTAGAAATCAAAGCAATTGAATTCATGGAGATAGAGAATAGAGGAGTGGTTACCAGAGCCTGGGAAAGGTAGTGGGGAGACATGCAGGAAGGGGAGATGGTTAATGGGTACAAAATAAAATAGAAAGAAAGAATAAGATCTAGCAATTGATAGCACAACAGGGGCATCATAGTAACAATTTAATTGGACATTGTAAAATAACTAAAATAGTATAAGTAGATTGTTTGTAACACAAAGGATAAATGCTCAAGGGGATGGATACCCCATTTTCCATGCTGTAATTATGCATTGCATGCCTGTATCAAAACATTTCATGTACCCCATAAATATATATGCCTACTATGTACCCACAAAAATTAAAAATAAAAATAAAAATAATTTAAGTAAATACATAAATAAAGAGCCTGAAAATCCTAACTCCTTGGAAGCCAAGTGGTCACTTACTTCACAATGAATGGAGAGCACAGCTCCTCTAGGATCCTCTTCTCTGAGTAGACATGCTCCTGCTGCTTGGTGTCAACTATGTGCTTCTTCCTTATACACTTCATAGCAAAAGCAACATTCTCATTTTTTACTTTAACCTATGTAAGAAATGGAAAGATACCTCAAAATTAACTTATATCTATATAAAACACACTAATCAATGAGAGTTAAAACTGTTTCATGTTTAATTAGTATGGAAGCCCTTAGCCACTTATCCCTTTGAGAACTTTCATTCAAGTGTACACACTTCCCTTTCATCACTATTTCTAGAATAGTTCATCTATCTGGGATGTGGCTCTAAAATTTTTGTATTAAAGCAAAATAAAATTCTGTTAGACTTAATATTTAGATAGCTATTCTATTTTTAATTGGGTGACATTAAAAACTTTGACTAGAATTGCCTTTTTTTATTATTCACTTTGCTTTCAAAGCAAGATTTATTATTATTATTATTATTATTTTAAGACAGGGTCTCACTCTGTCGCCCAGAATGCAGTGGTGCAATCAGGGCTCATTGCAGCCTTGACCTCCTGGGCTCAAGCTATCCTCCCATCTCAGCTTCCTGAGTAGCTGGGACTACAGGTATAAACCACCACACCCAGCTAATTTTTGTATTTTTTATAAAGGTGGGGCCTCACTATGTTGCTCAGGCTAATTTCAAACTCCTGAGCCCAAGCAATCCTTCCACCTTGGCTTCCCAAAGTGCTGGGATTATAAGCATGAGCCACCGCACCCAGCCTAAGCTCTATATCTGTACCATCCAATATGGTAACTGCAAATCACATGAGGTTATGTAAATTTAAATTAAATAAAATTAAAAATTCAGTTCCTGAGTTATACTAGCCACTTTTCAAAGGCTCAACAGTCATATCTAGTTAGTGGCTACCCTATTAAATAGCACAGATATAAGACATTTCCCTCAGCACAGTTCTATTAAACAGTACTACTCTAGATGCACGATCAAGTATTTCCTAAAAAGGAAATAAACATTTTAAAATAATTTTTTGATAGATTTAAAACTCCATAAGCAGACTATGCTAGATAAGTAACTACATTGTGCAGAAATGGCTGCACTCCATATTTTGCTCATGTTTGCCATTAGTGCTGCCCATGACTTTTAAATCAATGGTGGATTTACTGCTTCAATTATTATTAGAAAACAGATCTCAGCTTTGTTAATTGAATCCTTTTGCCACAAACTTTGACGAAAAATACCACTGCAGACAGGTATTATCTTTATCTCTCCATAAGGTATAAGAGACATTACACACATTATTTATCCTAAGGAACATCTGTCCCTGCCCCCATCAGAGATGAAGCAAGGACTGGGTCTGAAGTGTACTGTCCAGACTCCCCTGACAGCATTTCAAATCTGCTCATGCCCAAAGCCAGCCAGCAGACCAACAGGTCAGCAGAGTTCCCAGAAGATAAGGTATGGTGAATCCTTAAAAATCTGATGGGCAAAGAAGGACTCGGTAATTGCCAAGGCCTCAGAGCCATCTGTACCCAGTAAGGCCACAGATCTCTATTCCACATTTTCCTTAGAATACTTGTTTGACAGTACCACTTTTGCTACTCCTTGGAAGCTGATAGCTCAGAAAGAGGGTGATGTGGAAGGCACAACTAAAATCAGGCTGTAAGTTCCCAGATATCCTGATCAACACTACAGAAGGCTTCTCTTCAAATATTCCCTTTCATTCATCTTCTTTTCTTTTCTCACAATACGAAATTTTGAGCAACCCAAAAACAAAATAATGAAGGTGAAATACAGACATGGTACTGGAGTTGTTTAAAGAACACAACTATAACATTGAATATTTCACCTCTATGGCATTTTCACTTGACACATTCTTCTTTTCTTTAGTGTATAGAGACTAAATGTGTCATGAATGTATATAGACACGCATTTGCTGTTAGAAAATACATTATTTTATGTTTCCTTTTGGACGTGCTTACTTAGTATATTGATAATCATCGAGAAGAAAATTCACAAAAGACGTGATGTAAGCTTGAACTAGCAGTTGATTATTACAAGTTACTTACTAGCACAGACCTGCTACTATACAATATACAGAGTGAAAAGTTTACTTTCTCAATTTCAGTTCAAAGCAACATTTAAGATAGCAGTAACAATTCATATATTCCTCCAAGATATGCTGGAATATAAAACAAAAAAAAAGTCAAAAGGCTTCTCTCAGATGCTTGAAACGTAAACCCCTTACAAGCTCAACTCTTCCGAACCCACCAACGCCCAGTGTTGCAATAATCTCAAGGTTCTGGAATGGGGATGATGAGGAAAATCTGGCCACCTTCTCCTTCAGCTGAATCATTTCCAGAGAGAGTGCTTTGGACAGCTTCCAGTTAGACATGGACCGCCTGTACAAGAGAAGTGAAACTTTACACACACACACCCATAATTAAGAAGGTGTCATGCCATACATAAATTTCACTCCTACGACAGTCTAATTTCTGCTGTAACTATGATTTATAGTTGCCACAAAGGCTATCCCAACTTTTATGGATCAGATTCAGTCCCACGCAGCGAGAAAACAATAGAATATACAAACATAAAACTCACACATATGCATATACCAGGAAATAGACGAATGCCAAGTTGAATCAATGAGAGGTAAAATGGGTATAGTTTGTGGTACTTAAAATGTACCTCTTAGGTTTCTTCTCAGTGTGGAAATTTTTTTTAACTAAAAATATATATACCTCAAAAAAGCTGTTAAAAAACAACCATGAAAAGCAGTCAATGAATGGGAATGAAACAAGGAAGCCACTTCCTTTGCTGCATGTACAGGAGAATGCCACATTGACAATCTTTCCCACGTTTTGCTAGTTTTATCAGATCTTGAAGCTTTGCATGGCTGAACCAAAATAACTGCTTTGTGAAATATGAAAAGTACATTTCTTACTTTATGTCTAAGTAATATCCATTTTTTTCTCTTTTAATTAAGGTTTACCGGTCTGGGTTACATATTCATAAATTATTACCACAAAAGGCCTTCAGCGTAAAAATTGCAAAAACATATGAAGTACTGATTGAATATTCTAATTTAATTCAAATTTAAGTTTTCTAAGAATTTTGACTATATGGCTTTGATAGCACTATCTAGTGAACATGTGCTTAAGCATTCACTCTAAAAAAATGTTTCAGCAAACAACTTTCAAATAATTTTCATTTAACAAAAGTAGAGTTTTCTAGTACACACAAAAAATTAATCACTATTACTACATTTAGAGACCTACCCAACCCCCTCCTCCACATATCCCTGGGCAATAGATTCCTTACATTTTGAAAAAATTCTAACTATAACCCTGCTCTTTACCTCTAATCAAATATTAATGTCTTTTTGAGCTAAGTCACCAGGCAACATAAAATATCCCTTTTGTAAGGCCCTGGATTAGAACACCTCTCCCTAACATTCCTACTCATCATCCAAAATAAAGGAGCAGACTATTTCTAATAGATAATATCCATTCTAGTGGAAGTGGTGTTGTCTTTGTGGAAGAACAATTCAAAAGAACTCTCCAGAATTTTCTAGTGAAGGCACATTAAAAGTTACCACACAGCAAGTCACACCCTCTGTCCCCTTCTTTATTTATTGGCTGCCAGAAGTCAGCTCCGGCTCAGGAAAACATTCCTCCACTTACTTCGCATGTCTTTTTTCATCATCACGGTTCAGGTTTGCCACATATCCTTCAAGGTATTTTTGCAGCTCTTCAAATGTACCGACAGTTTGGTTGAATGTTCTAAATAGATAGAATAAAGTAAAATGCTCCGTGCTGATAGTTACCAAGGCAACTTGACATTCTTCTAAGCTCATAAAACACAAGCTGGTTATTCCTGACTTTATAAATCATTTTTTAAATAATTTATGAAATATTGAAGTTGATGTAATATGTACAAGGGTTATTAAAAGCTATATATAATTGATCCTTTGATTTTATAAAAGCAAAGGGGCTATTAATGAGAACAGGAAACTTTTTTATAGTTTTCTGCCTTGTATTTAAGGTTATATATATATATATATTTTTTTTTTATTATACTTTAAGTTCTAGGGTACATGTGCACAATGTGCAGGTTAGTTACATATGTATACATGTGCCATGCTGGTGTGCTGCACCCATTAACTCGTCATTTACATTAAGTATATCTCCTAATGCTATCCCTCCCCCCTCCCCCCACCCCATGACAGGCCCCGGTGTGTCATGTTCCCCTTCCTGTGTCCAAGTGTTCTCATTGTTCAGTTCCCACCTATGAGTGAGAACATGCAGCGTTTGGTTTTTTGTCCTTGCGATAGTTTGCTGAGAATGATGGTTTCCAGCTTCATCCATGTCCCTACAAAGGACATGAACTCATCATTTTTTATGGCTGCACAGTATTCCGTGGTGTATATGTGCCACATTTTCTTAATCCAGTCTATCATTGTTGGACATTTGGGTTGGTTCCAAGTCTTTGCTATTGTGAGTAGTGCCGCAATAAACATACATGTGCATGAGTCTTTATAGCAGTATGATTTATATTCCTTTGGGTATATACCCAGTAATGGGATGGCTGGGTCAAATGGTATTTCTAGTTCTAGATCCCTGAGGAATCGCCACACTGTCTTCCACAATGGCTGAACTAGTTTACAGTCCCACCAACGGTGTAAAAGTGTTCCTATTCCTCCACAAGGTTTAACAACAATTTTTTAGAGAAGATAGTGGGAAGGGAACAGCCTTACATGATGTGTTTACTGAATCAACAGGTTACAGGGGTTACAGATTCTTTTAACTTTGCTTAATAAAGTTAAGCTATATATATTTTAAATCAAGAATAAAATTTATCTCTTGTCTCAAGATAACTCTCTCCATTTCACATTCCTTCATAATTAAATCCAAATCATTTTACCTTACTTTAGTAGTTCTCTGAGGATCAGCCAACATCTCATTACCTTTCTCACCCTTCCTGGATCACAGGTTTCTCATAGGCCTGATCTAATCACTCTGTCTCCTGTCCATGATCACTGGGAATTCTAACATAGTCCTATGCCCTTGAGAAAAAATAATCCTTTTCCTCACCAGTGAAAGGTCAACTTTCTTGATTACTTCCAATGCTTCCCTGCTTCTAACTCCAACAATCCATCTTGACTGGTAATTATTAGGGTACTTCTTTTCCCTACTACAAAATAGTATCCTTCTTAAAAGTAAAGACCATGCTTTAATCATCTTTGTAACATTTTAAGTACCTAGTACACAGTAGAATGAAAAGAGTGAGTTTACCTCAAAATACCTAAAATTAATAAGCCAGAGCCACCTCAATATTGTGCTGTCTCAACTTACTGCCTCTACCCATTTACTTGACAACCAATCTATATTTACTTTATTAAGCACATATTACCTACTGTGCAGGGTATTTTTCCTTTCCCCTCCAGATCTATTCTCTACTCTTTTCTAGCCTGTTCTATGGACTGACCTTTGTCGACTGAAGAGTAGTGAGACATAAAACAGGATGGCTATGAATTTTCTAATCTCCAATAGTTGAAATTTTCTGTTAAAAAGGAAACACTCTTACTTTGTTTTACTTTTATTTATTCTATACTTCACCATTATTTTGCTGGCTATTAAACTAACTGCAGTATTACTGTAAACAAATCTTATTTTCTAAATAGAGGTGAGATGGGTGCTATAGGTCTCTAGAAATTCTCCACTAACTAATCCTAAAGTCAAGTTTAAACAGCTACAAAATTGTTGCTGTGATATTCAAATAGCCTACATTAATTCAGATGCTATAGCCTGAGCAATAACTAATGAACTTTTTTTTTGAAATTTGTCCCAACAGTCAGTGATAGAGATGTGACAAATAGCATTTCCCATTTGTTTAGAGCTCTTGCCATACAAAAGGGTTATTTCATATTTTATCACATTTAAAAATAGGAAATATAACTCAAAGTTTAACTCTCCTTCTTGCACTGTAAGCAATCTAAGCCTTTGTTAAAATCATGAATTAAGAAAGAAGAAATAAAAAGTCATTGGCTTTCAGTCACTATATTTCATTGCAAGGATGGTGCCCTGTATTCAGCCACCATCTGGTGAGCACTTCCCATATGCCAAGGACTATGTCAAAGGCTGGCACTGCAACCACAGTGAACAAGTTACATGTTTCTGTATTTATGAAGCTTACAGAAGCATGGAGAGACAGATGTTAAATAAAACAATCAAGGTATTATAATGATATGACAAGGGTATAAAGGCTGCTATGAGAGCATTATTGTGGGATCTTATTCTAGTCTATAAGTCATAGCTAGGATGATCATATAATTTATCATCCAAGCTGGAATATATTTCTGAGTGAAATGATGTGTCAATATTAAATATGCTGGTGTAATCTGAACTGTCTCAGTAAATCCAAGATGTAAGTAAACCTAGTTATATCTGATAATCAGTTTGTCTTATCCACAGAAAATATTCACGTAATTTTTATGTCTCATTGTGCCTAATGCAATACTTTGTATATTGCAGACTCTAAATTATACACACATGAACTAAACATTTTAAAATTATAAACTGGCAAGTAACTTGTAAGCCATATAAAATTATTGCATCCTCTTTATGGATTATGAATACATGAGACATTGTATAAATATGTGGTGTATGTGATTACAATGAAGAAAAAAGAAATGAGCTCCTCCTTTCTATCCTATTTGTAGTCCTAGCATTTTGCATCCATTTATAATATTTTACCACACAGCTAATGCCACTCAGTGCTTGCACATATTTTAAGGAACATATATAGAAAACAATGCATTATTGATACAATACTGTACCAATATATTTTCCATTTGAGAGTTGGCATCCAAAGATTACCTTTATCTGAACACACTTCACACTTTTCTAGTCCTATGTTTTTGCTTGAGGGTTTTATTTCACCTAGGGTGACTTTGACATTTCCTCTTTGCCTAGAAAAGTCCTGTTAATACTTTAAATCCCTTTTCCACACCTAAAAATTAAAATAAAACCTTGACCACTTTACTGCATAGTGATTGCTCCTCTTTTTGAACACATGCTTGGGAGCCAACTGGCATGGTGGGAAGCATGGGGAAATGAGTTAGAAAGCCTGGACAGGGACGGCTCCAACACAGGGAGCACTGCTGGGGAAATTATGTAACCTACCTGGGACTCATTTTGTATCTGTAGAGGAGAGAATTAAAATAACTCTAAGTGATATTAAGAATTATTGTTAACATTTCAGGCATGTTAGCCTTATTGTGGTCATGCATTACATGTAATACTTAGCTTTTAGAAATGCAACTAAAATGTATAGATAAAATAATTTTATGTTGGGAATTTGCTTAAAAATAGTGTGGAGATAGCAGGAAGTGGTAAAGGGGTATAGATAAGGCATAAATTGATCATTGTTTAACTTGCATTATGGGTTCATGATACCATTCTATTTTTTGATATGTTTAAAATTTTCTATAATAAAAATATATTTTTAAATGCTCTAAAGTTTTTTCCAGCTCTATATCTCTAGACTCTATTTTCAATAAATGTTGTATTTAACAGTCAACTATATACTACCTTGTGATATCTGTTGTCATTTTATAATCTTTGTTAATATTTCATATGCGTATGCTCTATTTCTTTGACTACACTATGACTTTTCTGACAATGGCCTGCCTTTGGTATCACTGAATTTCCTTCATTTTGTCAAGTAGATAACCAGAAATATTGAGTTGATTAATGAGAAACCCAGGGGGGCAGATTCAAACATTATTTCAAATGAGTGATGCATATAAAATGAGACTTATTTTGAAGAATAACCTAAGACATTTAGAGATTAATATTGACACACATCACTTACAAATTACAACAAATGTTCAATTAAAGCCACTCTGGAAAAATATGTAGCTAATATATATTTTATGCTTTGAGAGAAGGTTTTGTTCAAAAATTGACCACTAAAGGCATTTTAGAAATAAATTATGTAATTGTTCACTATATTGTATGGAAGAAATCCATAAGCGAACGAATCAACTTACTTCCCTAGAAGATGCAGAATTTAAATCAGCCTATTGCTGATATTTATGTATAAACTCTGTACACAAAATATTTAGCCTTCCAGCATCTGCCCCTGCCACAGACCGATTCAGATCAGAAGGCCCTGTTCCTTCCCATGAATTTTAATAGAATGTACTTGCAGCTGAGATCGGCCAGTATTTCCAAGTGGTGATGAATGAGAAAACAGATCGGCCTTGAAGTAACAGAAGGCCAAGTCTTCAAAGGTGGCAGTGGCCTGCCTCCTCCAACATCAGTATACTCACTCTCGATCTATAACCAGGCATGCAACATCATTTTCTTCAGCAATAATGTTAGCTGACCTGACATCATCACTGCAAACAAAAATAGGAAAGTCAATTTTCACTATAATTAGAAATTAAACATCCACTTTTATTAGGGAATGTACTAACTTTGTATGAAAACACCACCATCACTTACACCTCCCAAAAACTGCTGCTTTTAAACATCATAATTTATATCCCCCCAAAAAAAGATTTGAAATGTGCCCCAGTAGAGGTTATGTACACAAAGAATTCAGAGGAGAAGAAGATAATTGCACTGGGAACAGAGAAGAATAAGTGACTACAAATGTTTATGGAATCTCATTCTGAGCTTTGTGAAAGTCAAAATAAAATAGCTCTCCTCTGATCAAAGGAGAACTATTCACTAACAAGAAGGCAAAACTGAAATTAACTTATCAGAGAAATGTATTGGAAAAACAGTCAAGTAATTAGCATAAGATCAACCAATCATTAATAAAATAAAAAAGTAGTTTCAGTGCCATATCACCCAATTAATTAAATACTAAAATACTTTCATTTCAAAGTGTAAAGTGTATATTTTTCCATTAAAATCTCTGAAATTAGAGCATGTCTTAAAATTGATAAATTGTAGTGTAATTAGCAGCATTTTCTTTTTCTTAGGTGTATATAATATAGCAGTGCATCTTATAATTGACATCTTGCAATTATATATGATCCAATGGTAGCAAATTTAATTACCTAATGAATGCCAGTGGGTATCAGGTAAAGTACTTCTTTACAGACCTTTACTTATATTAGCTTCCTCCCTCTATTAGTTATAAACTAAAAGACACACACACAAAAGGTACATCCACAAGGCACCCAGTGCTCTGAGATTCATTTAAGATGACTTGGGAGTACTAAGCATACCCTGGAGTATGCTTTGGGACTCTTCTAGGCAACTTCATCAAAAATGTTATCGCACAAAGTGTATTTCCTTTGCCTTCTCTTAGTAATGGGACAGGAAAAACACTGGCAGCCCATCTCTACTATTTCAAAGACCCCTATCTACCTAGCTCACATTCTGAGACCTTCTGACATAACTCACTGTCCCTCCCAAGTTTACAGGGTCCTTGTTAGAAGATATCAGTGAAAACACTTCAGTTTCATGGACCTTTGAGACAGCAGCAGGAAAATTTGTGCTTGTATATGTAGAGGTAGAGATAGAGATAGAGATGGTGGATGTAGAGCCAGACAGATCTAGAAATAGACATAAGCATAGACATAGACATAGACACAGACATGATCTTGATTGTAGGCCAACCATTTGATCTGTGAGCTTAGAGAAAGGAAAGGCATATGGTATTCCTTTTGCATGTCAGTATCATGATTTTGACTGAGAATATTCTCTGCAAACATTTTACAAGTATTAGATGTATGCAAATACACTTATGTTTCTTCCATAGTAACTGTGTAAGTGCCATAGATTTATTTTTGCACATAAAATTCTGAAAGAACTCCAGGGACTATTTAATGTCAAGTCATGGAAATATACAGAATATAAGGATTACTGAATCACGGTCAGTGGCCCTAAAATGTGATAGCATTAAAAGGCACAAAAATATAAAAATATTTGTCTCCAACTTTCCTTCTCATTGATTTTAGCTTAATGCTTTCAAACACCTTTAGGAGTTGAGTGTCTATCTTAAACATAAATTCCCATGCTTTTTTTATTGGAAAACACTATAATTGGCTAGCCACAACATATAGCATAAATTATTTCAGGCCCAGCAAAACTGAATAACATATTTTCTTTCAAGAGCTATTTTGACTCTATACTGCATTTATAAAGTGCTGTGCACTTTCAAGCTTCCGTTGTTTTGCTTGAAAGTATGAGAAAATCTGTAAGCGTTAAGAACAAAGACACTGAAGCCCTGGATAATGATATTACATTATTATATTGCATGAATGTATTTATATTCTGTTACAAATAAACACAAAGAATATTAATTTTCCTAATATTGAAACAAGTTCATTACCGGCTATAAAGTGGTAAAGAAGAATTCAGCTTATCTTTAAATCCCACTTTTAAATTGCTACATAATAGCTAAAACTTTATTTTTTTGGTTTTCTTTAAAAACTAAGAGATTTGTGATTTTTAAAGACTCAAATTTGTCTTCAGGTAATATCTGAACACTTTTTCTTTGCTCTGTACTTATGTAAACCTGATCTACAAATCAGCAGAATTGGGGTTTCATAGGCAAAGGTTAAGAAGATAAATGAACAGGAATACTATTCCTTTTCCAAAAGCATACAGTTGAAACAAATGCATTTAATCATATGTAAATTTTAACTGATTTCTTAAATAATTCCAAGTATTAACTTGAAAACATAGATAATTCCAATAAAGTGTGTTGCTCTAACTTTAACTTAATATTTTATAAAGTTATTTATATTTAGGAAAATGCATTTGATCAGACTTGAGGTTTTATGAGTTCCAGGAAATGCAAAGTGTCCCTCGAGCCATTTAATTAACTTTTAAAAATATTTCTTCCATAAATTAGATCAACAGTAAATAAACTCATACCTCAAGACTGAAGGTTGTGGTAAAAATTGCAAATATACTATTTTGAGTTGTTTTTAAAACTTGCAAAACGAGCTGATAAAAATTCTTAAGAAAAATACTTTTGACCTGATGATTTAAAAGCACACAAAATATATAAAATTATTTCGTAATTTTTAAAAAGGTGAAAACTCTAAAGTAGGCAATATTTCAAATGTTGGGAATATAAAGATCTGTATACAAGTGTAATTTTTCCATTTTTAACCTTTTCTCAGACCCTTTTTTGAAACTAAAAAGTTTAATAGAACACCAATTTCATTTTCACTAGCAAACTTAAGATTTTCCAATTATTTCCTCTGCAAATTAGCATACTCATTTCCCGCATAAAAATTTAAGAAATCACTTCAAAATATTTAATATTAGGATATTTGTTGCCATTAACTTGGTAGCTCAATTTAACAACTCTAAATGATTTTATATAAAAAATAGTCGAAGCATTTTATCCAAAGTATGGCATATAATTCATGAATTCACCTGATAAGAGCTTTTTCTCCAAAGTATTCTCCTTTCTGCAGTGTTTTTATCAGCTGTGGTTGATCATGGCCTTCTGTGCTCTGTGTTACTTTTACCTAAACAATGTTAAGCAATACAAACAGAAAGAGACTGAAGAAAAAGGAGAATCTGAACACACATTCATTCAACCAAACCCTCTAGACCTATATAAACTTGGACAAGGAAAAAGACAATACTTTGTTTTAATTTTATGGTAATTAGGACAATTACCTACATTCAGCCCATTTTGATGGATGTGGGAAGTCCTATGGTCTAATATTATCAAATAACTACCCACTGTAAGAGGAAAATTCACCATCTAAACTCCACCTCCTAAAGTTAAATTTTAAATGTGAATCCAGTGATTCCTTCTGAGAGATCCACAAAGCAAATAATAATGGTCTTGTGGGAACTTTTTCTATTTTAAAAAGCCTAATATAGTTGACAAATTAATCAAAAATAAGGTTGAGTATCAGTAGTTCTGAGTCTGGTATCAATAGATTGACTGGCCGAATCCTGTGCACCTCCTAAAACTGAATGCAAAATGTTGATTGAAGAAGGGTCTACAACTTTCATGGGCATCTCAAAGCAATCTGTTGCCCAGAAAGGCTTAAGAACCCCCCACCCAGCAGGGCCAAACAGAAAAAGCCCTGTTTGTGGCTAGAGTTATTCCAATTCAACATGGTAACAAGTGCTGATTCAGGCTGAATAGAAATTCTGTTTGGCATTTATGTATGTCACAATGAATTAAAATTTTAAAAATAAAAAATGCAATTTTTTATCACCAAGAATTATTTCAAAGTATGGGGTCTAGGTTGGGAAAAAATGACAAGAAGTAGTTCCTAGTGTTGAAGAGTTTCAGAGGTTTGAAACTATTTTGTTCATGTTTTTCCTTCACTTGGGGCCAAATTCAAAGTTCAACCACAATCCAGTTTACAAATGGCAGTGCCTGACTCCCTGATGGTAAACCCTTCCATATAACATATGTAAAAATCTGACAGTTTATACACACAGGTGCTCAAGAATTGGCCCTTCCCTTCAATATTTCACAAATGCTTTTCATCTCTGAGTAATACTGTTGAGTCAACATTGGAACAACTGGCAACATGTTATCCATTCAATATCTAGGTAAAGAAAAAGACTTATTGTACATGTTAGTATAAATTTTGCATCAGCATCTAAATTCACTTGAGCTGTTTTGTATCAATTGAAATTCTGAGCCATATTGGTTCTATAAGCCTGATACCTAATCATGACTGTCTTCAATTGCTGAATTCATTCTCCACCTGCTACTTGTCATATCTATTGGATAAGAAAATATTCTAGTACTGATCTTGGAATCTGGGGATGATTGAGAATCACATAGTCATAGCCAGAAGGGACCTTATAAATAATCCAGCCATCTCATATACAATTAAGCTAGGTCTCTCCCCAAAAAATCAAGTGACCTACATAACATCACTAAGAAGTTATTATTTCTTAGGGGGTCCTGTGGCCTCCACTCCAAAGCCAGTGTTCAAACAGAATTGCATGGGACTCTACTGGTAGAAGCTCCTTTATCTGTCCAAAGTGGAGGACCTATGTTGCAATGCAAAGCATAGTTGAGTTTATGGCAAACTGATTTAAAATAATCTTTTTTATTTAGTAAGTTTTAATTAATAGTTACCTTTCCTTTTGCCAAAATGAAAAAGGTACTTCCTTCCTCGCCCTCTCTAATGATGTAATCTCCTTTGTCATAGTATTCCTGTTGGGATGAGAGAGAAAGAAAATGTAAGAGCGGGTGGAGCCAAGATGGCCTAATAGGAACAGCTCCAGTATACAGCTCCCAGCGTGAGCGGCGCAGAAGACGGGTGATTTCTGTATTTCCATCTGAGGTACCGGGTTCATCTCACTAGGGAGTGCCAGACAGTGGGCACAGGTCAGTGGGTGCGCGCACCGTGCGCGAGCCGAAGCAGGGCGAGGCATTGCCTCACTCAGCAAGCACAAGGGGTCAGGGAGTTCCCTTTCCTAGTCAAAGAAAGGGGTGATGGACAGCACCTGGAAAATCGGGTCACTCTCACCCGAATATCGCGCTTTTGGGACGGCCTTAAAAAAACGGCGCACCACGAGATTATATCCCCGCACCTGGCTCGGAGGGTCCTACGCCCACGGAGTCTTGCTGATTGCTAGCACAGCAGTCTGAGATCAAACTGCAAGGCAGCAGCGAGGCTCGGGGAGGGGCGCCCGCCATTGCCCAGGCTTGCTTAGGTAAACAAAGCAGCCAGGAAGCTCAAACTGGGTGGAGCCCGCCACAGCTCAAGGAGGCCTGCCTGCCTCTGTAGGCTCCACCTCTGGGGGCAGGGCACAGACAAACAAAAAGACAGCAGTAACCTCTGCAGATTTAAATGTCCCTGTCTGACAGCTTTGAAGAGAGCAGTGGTTCTCCCAGCACGCAGCTGGAGATCTGAGAACGGGCAGACTGCCTCCTCAAGTGGGTCCCTGACCCTGACCCCCGAGCAGCCTAACTGGGAGGCACCCCCCAGCAGGGGCACACTGACACCTCACACGGCAGGGTACTCCAACAGACCTGCAGCTGAGGGTCCTGTCTGTTAGAAGGAAAACTAACAAACAGAAAGGACATCCACAGCAAAAACCCATCTGTACATCACCATCATCAAAGACCAAAAGTACATAAAACCACAAAGATGGGGAAAAAACAGAGCAGAAAAACTAGAAACTCTAAAAAGCAGAGCGCCTCTCCTCCTCCAAAGGAACGCAGTTCCTCACTAGCAACAGAACAAAGCTGGACGGAGAATGACTTTGACGAGCTGCGAGAAGAAGGCTTCAGACGATCAAATTACTCTGAGCTACGGGAGGACATTTAAACCAAAGGCAAAGAAGTTGAAAACTTTGAAAAAAATTTAGAAGAATGTATAGGCCGGGCGCGGTGGCTCACGCCTGTAATCCCAGCACTTTGGGAGGCCGAGGCGGGCAGATCACGAGGTCAGGAGATCGAGACCATCCCGGCTAACACGGTGAAACCCCGTCTCTACTAAAAATACAAAAAAAAAATTAGCCGGGCGTAGTGGCGGGCGCCTGTAGTCCCAGCTACTTGGGAGGCTGAGGCAGGAGAATGGCGTGAACCCGGGAGGCGGAGCTTGCAGTGAGCCGAGATCCCGCCACTGCACTCCAGCCTGGGCGACAGAGCGAGACTCCGTCTCAAAAAAAAAAAAAAGAAGAATGTATAACTAGGATAACCAATACAGAAAAGTGCTTAAAGGAGCTGATGGAGCTGAAAACCAAGGCTCGAGAACTACGTGAAGAATGCAGAAGCCTCAGGAGCCGATGCGATCAGCTGGAAGAAAGGGTATCAGCAATGGAAGATGAAATGAATGAAATGAAGCGAGAAGGGAAGTTTAGAGAAAAAAGATAAAAAGAAACGAGCAAAGCCTCCAAGAAATATGGGACTATGTGAAAAGACCAAATCTACGTCTGATTGGTGTACCTGAAAGTGATGGGGAGAACGGAACCAAGTTGGAAAACACTCTGCAGGATATTATCCAGGAGAACTTCCCCAATCTAGCAAGGCAGGCCAACATTCAGATTCAGGAAATACAGAGAACGCCACAAAGATACTCCTCGAGAAGAGCAACACCAAGACACATAATTGTCAGATTCACCAAAGTTGAAATGAAGGAAAAAATGTTAAGGGCAGCCAGAGAGAAAGGTCGGGTTACCCTCAAAGGGAAGCCCATCAGACTAACAGCAGATCTCTCGGCAGAAACTCTACAAGCCAGAAGAGAGTGGGGGCCAATATTCAACATTCTTAAAGAAAAGAATTTTCAACCCAGAATTTCATATCCAGCCAAACTAAGCTTCATAAGTGAAGGAGAAATAAAATCCTTTACAGACAAGCAAATGCTGAGAGATTTCATCACCACCAGGCCTGCCCTAAAAGAGCTCCTGAAGGAAGCACTAAACATGGAAAGGAACAACCGGTACCAGCCACTGCAAAATCATGCCAAAATGTAAAGACCATCGAGACTAGGAAGAAACTGTATCAACTAACGAGCAAAATAACCAGCTAACATCATAATGACAGGATCAAATTCACACATAACAATGTTAACTTTAAACGTAAATGGACTAAATGCTCCAATTAAAAGACACAGACTGGCAAATTGGATAAAGAGTCAAGACCCATTAGTGTGCTGTATTCAGGAAACCCATCTCACAGGCAGAGACACACATAGGCTCAAAATAAAAGGATGGAGGAAGATCTACCAAGCAAATGGAAAACAAAAAAAGGCAGGGGTTGCAATCCTAGTCTCTGATAAAACAGACTTTAAACCGACAAAGATCAAAAGAGACAAAGAAGGCCATTATTTAATGGTAAAGGGATCAATTCAGCAAGAAGAGCTAACTATCCTAAATATATATGCACCCAATACAGGAGCACCCAGATTCATAAAGCAAGTCCTGAATGACCTGCAAAGAGACTTAGACTCCCACACATTAATAATGGGAGACTTTAACACCCCACCGTCAACATTAGACAGATCAACGAGACAGAAAGTCAACAAGAATACCCAGGAATTGAACTCAGCTCTGCACCAAGCTGACCTAATAGACATCTACAGAACTCTCCACCCCAAATCAACAGAATATACATTTTTTTCAGCACCACGCCACACCTACTCCAAAATTGACCACATACTTGGAAGTAAAGCTCTCCTCAGCAAATGTAAAAGAACAGAAATTATAACAAACTATCTCTCAGACCACAGTGCAATCAAACTAGAACTCAGGATTAAGAATCTCACTCAAAACCGCCAACTACATGGAAACTGAACAACCTGCTCCTGAATGACTACTGGGTACATAACGAAATGAAGGCAGAAATAAAGATGTTCTTTGAAACCAACAAGAACAAAGACACAGCATACCAGAATCTCTGGGATGCATTCAAAGCAGTGTGTAGAGGGAAATTTATAGCACTAAATGCCCACAAGAGAAAGCAGGAAAGATCCAAAATTGACACCCTAACATCACAATTAAAAGAACTAGAAAAGCAAGAGCAAACACATTCAAAGGCTAGCAGAAGGCAAAAAATAACTAAAATCAGAGCAGAACTGAAGGAAATAGAGATACAAAAAACCCTTCCAAAAATTAACGAATCCAGGAGCTGGTTTTTTGAAAGGATCAACAAAATTGATAGACCACTAGCAAGATTAATAAAGAAAAAAAGAGAGAAGAATCAAATAGATGCAATAAAAAATGATAAAGGGGATATCACCACCGATCCCACAGAAATACAAACTACCATCAGAGAATACTACAAACACCTCTACGCAAATAAACTAGAAAATCTAGAAGAAATGGATAAATTCCTCAATACATACACTCTCCCAAGACTAAACCAGGAAGAAGTTGAATCTCTGAATAGACCAATAACAGGAGCTGAAATTGTGGCAATAATCAACAGCTTACCAACAAAAAAGAGTCCAGGACCAGATGGATTCACAGCCGAATTCTACCAGAGGTACAAGGAGGAACTGGTACCATTCCTTCTGAAACTATTCCAGTCCATAGAAAAAGAGGGAATCCTCCCTAACTCATTTTATGAGGCCAGCATCATCCTGATACCAAAGCCGGGCAGAGACACAACCAAAAAAGAGAATTTTAGACCAATATCCTTGAAGAACATTGATGCAAAAATCCTCAATAAAATACTGGCAAACCGAATCCAGCAGCACATCAAAAAGCTTATCCACATGATCAACTGGGCTTCATCCCTGGGATGCAAGGCTGGTTCAATATACACAAATCAATAGATGTAATCCAGCATATAAACAGAACCAAAGACAAAAACCACATGATTATCTCAATAGATGCAGAAAAGGCCTTTGACAAAATTCAACAACGCTTCACGCTAAAAACTCTCAATAAATTAGGTATTGATGGGACGTATCTCAAAATAATAAGAGCTATCTATGACAAACCCACAGCCAATATCATACTGAATGGGCAAAAACTGGAAGCATTCCCTTTGAAAACTGGCACAAGACACGGATGCCCTCTCTCACCACTCCTATTCAACATAGTGTTGGAAGTTCTGGCCAGGGCAATTAGGCAGGAGAAGGAAATAAAGGGTATTCAATTAGGAAAAGAGGAAGTCAAATTGTCCCTGTTTGCAGACGATATGATTGTATATCTAGAAAACCCCATTGTCTCAGCCCAAAATCTCCTTAAGCTGATAAGCAACTTCAGCAAAGTCTCAGGATACAAAATCAATGTACAAAAATCACAAGCATTCTTATACACCAACAACAGACAAACAGAGAGCCAAATTATGAGTGAACTCCCATTCACAATTGCTTCAAAGAGAATAAAATACCTAGGAATCCAACTTACAAGGCATGTGAAGGACCTCTTCAAGGAGAACTACAAACCTTCAAGGAGAACTACAAACCACTGCTCAAGGAAATAAAAGAGGATACAAACAAATGGAACATTCCATGCTCATGGGTAGGAAGAATCAATATCGTGAAAATGGCCATACTGCCCAAGGTAATTTGCAGATTCAATGCCATCCCCATCAAGCTACCAATGACTTTCTTCACAGATTTGGAAAAAACTACTTTAAACTTCATATGGAACCAAAAAAGAGCCCGCATCACCAAGTCAATCCTGAGCCAAAAGAACAAAGCTGGAGGCATCACACTACCTGACTTCAAACTATACTACAAGGCTATAGTAACCAAAACAGCATGGTGCTGGTACCAAAACAGAGATATAGATCAATGGAACAGAATAGAGCCCTCAGAAATAACGTCACATATCTACAACCATCTGATCTTTGAGAAACCTGAGAAAAACAAGCAATGGGGAAAGGATTCCCTATTTACTAAATGGTGCTGGGAAAACTGGCTAGCCATATGTAGAAAGCTGAAACTGGATCCCTTCCTTAATCCCTTCCTTACACCTTATACAAAAATCAATTCAAGATGGATTAAAGACTTAAACGTTAGACCTAAAACCATAAAAACCCTAGAAGAAAACCTAGGCATTACCATTCGGGACATAGGCATGGGCAAGGACTTCATGTCTAAAACACCAAAAGCAATGGCAACAAAAGCCAAAATTGACAAATGGGATCTAATTCAACTAAAGAGCTTCTGCATAGCAAAAGAAACTACCATCAGGGTGAACAGGCAACCTACAAAATGGGAGAAAATTTTTGCAACCTACTCATCTGACACAGGGCTAATTTCCAGAATCTACAATGAACTCAAACAAATTTACAAGAAAAAAAAACAACCCCATCAAAAAGTGGGCAACGGATATGAACAGACACTTCTCAAAAGAAGACATTTATGCAGCCAAAAGACACATGAAAAAATGCTCATCATCACTGGCCATCAGAGAAATGCAAATCAAAACCACAATGAGATACCATTTCACACCAGTTAGAATGGCAATCATTAAAAAGTCAAGAAACAACAGGTGCTGGAGAGGATGTGGAGAAATAGGAACACTTTTACACTGTTGGTGGGACTGTAAACTAGTTCAACCATTGTGGAAGTCAGTGTGGCGATTCCTCAGGGATCTAGAACTAGAAATACCATTTGACCCAGCCATCCTATTACTGTGTATATACCCAAAGGACTATAAATCATGCTGCTATAAAGACACATGCACACGTATGTTTATTGTGGCACTATTCACAATAGCAAAGACTTAGAACCAACCCAAATGTCCAACAATGATAGACTGGATTAAGAAAATGTGGCACATATACACCATGGAATACTATGCAGCCATAAAAAATGATGAGTTCATGTCCTTTGTAGGGACATGGATGAAATTGGAAATCATCATTCTCAGTAAACTATTGCAAGAACAAAAAACTAAACACCGCATATTCTCACTCATAGATGGGAATTGAACAATGAGAACACATGGACACAGGAAGGGGAACATCACACTCTGGGGACCATTGTGGGGTGGGGGGAGGGGGGAGGGAGAGCATTGGGAGATATACCTAATGCTAGATGACGAATTAGTGGGTGCAGCGCACCAGCATGGCACATGTATACATATGTAACTGACCTGCACATTGTGCACATGTACCCTAAAACTTAAAGTATAATAATAATAAAAAATAAATAAATAAATAAAAAGATAATGTAAGATCAAGTGGAGACACATAATTGAAGACATAAAGAAAGCAGAACTCCTTTTGTCTTTGAAATGAGTATTACACACCTGTTTTAGCATTTGTTTGGTTGTTGTTTTTGCCTATTGAAACTGTAAGCTTTTCTTACATTGCAGTCATAAACTGTAGAAAAGTAAGGAGACTTTTGCTTTATTATCTGCACTTATGTTTTCTTCTTTCACAGAGTAAATTCACCTGGAATACTGAATTTCAGGCATGGGGTCCAAAGATATAAAGAGAAATGAGAGCCAGGCAACAATCACCAGCTTTCACCTGCATAATCTAAATATAAACTGTTTGGTGATCAGCAACATTCTAAAAATTGAGTCTGGGCTCTAGAAAAAGAACAAGTGATTATATAATATCCCCAATGGATATTAGGAAAATTACCCTTAATTTCTAATTCCTTGAAAAGCAACCTCTTGGAAGATTCTACATTCACAGTAGGTAGTGCTGTCATAATGCAATATCCAAAGATTTGTCATCATAAAACATTGACATTGGAAATTTTTATGTGTAAATTCTATTATTTAATTTAGATCTATCCTCATGAAATCTTAAATTATTGCATATTTCTTTTTATTTATTAACATCTGTTTCTCTTGTAAATATTTATGTGATTAGAAAATTCTTGAGGAGGGAAAAGTAATCTATCCACCTGTCAGACCAAAAGAGCGACTAAATATCTCAGAAAACAAAGGATAGATTAAACTGTCCACCTCTACTTTGCTTTAATTTGATCTTGTCTTAAAGTCACAGAACTAAGATGGATCTCTTAATTATTTATACAAACAAAAGTGGCTTCTTTAATTTTTAAAAAGGCATAACTAACCACATAATTGCTCTCTCTTGTTTTTCTTTTAGACTTGAAAATAAATTCCAAACTAAACTACTTTTTTATCTGTTGTTTTTCAATACTTTCTTGATCATTTATTCTTAAAACCTATTTACTTTTCTGGAATAAATGTTACTCCTAATACTAACAAACATGCGTTTTATTTTCATAACACTATGTACATTTTATAAGATATGTCAATATCTCATGGAAGGAAGCATAATATTTTTGGAGTTAAAAAGTTCTTTGAAGCCAGACAGGTCTATATTCAAATCCCAGTTTACAAGAAATTTACTTTCCTCAACCCATAAAATTAAAGTAACAACCCATATCTTCAAAGATTTAGGAAAGCGCATTAGTTCTCTATTGCTGCTGTAACAACCAAAAACTTGGTGGCTTAGAGCCACATCCTTTTATTATTTACAGTTTCCGTGAGTCAGAAAGCCTAGGCACAGTGTTGCTCAATTAGGTTTCTCAGTTAGGGTCTCTCAGGATGGAGCTCAAGGTATCAATAGGGCTTATGTCATTCTGGAAGCTCAGGGGAAAATTCATTTTCAAGGTCATTCAGGTTGCTGGAAGGATTCACCTGCAGGATAAGATCCCATTTCCTTACTGACTGACAGTGGGAACTGCTCATGAGGTCTCTCCCATCCCTGCAGAGAGCCCCCTCCATCTCAGAACCAGTGATGGCATGTTCATTTCTTACCCTCAGAGTCTCTCTGGATTTCACTTCTGCTGCATCTCTCTGACCCCAACCAGAAATAATTCTATGCTCATGCAACTATATTCAATAGTTCATTCACCTAGCCAATTAATGATAATCTATTTTAAAGTCCCAAACTTTAAGCATACCATTAAAGTCCCTTTTGCCATGTAATATAACATATTCATACATTCCAGGGATTAGAATCTGGATATCTGGAAGGGGGGGTGGGGCAGGGGACCATTCTGCCTACCACAATAAGCCAATGAAAGGCAATGTTGCCTGAAATAGTAGGAGCATCTAAAATATAGTAAATGCACAATTAATTGTTGCCATGCTAAGAAGGAGGATGATAATGATTTGCTCAGCTGTTTCCTACATCTTCTGGACCTCTGTTTCATTTTCTGTAAAATTAAGATTATATTTACTACTACACCTAATGTTGTTTGAGGACTAGTTAAGACGGTGTATCTAAAGTACCTGATGGAATGTTTAGTGCACACCAGGTACCCGGTGACTGTTAATCTTACGAAAGAGGCTGTAAGCTGGTCACGAAAGTCTTCCAGAGGAATATATGATTGTCCAGGTAAGTTACACTTGCCAGCCTTCCTGCTGTTAGCTATGGCCATGTGATGAACTTTTATCTAAAATAATCTGAGTGGAAGTGATCTGTGACAATTCCACACCAAGCCCATGCATGCTTTCATGCATGTGTCTTTATACTTTTTCCCCAATTATAATGGCATGGCCCACACAAACCTGGAAAACCACATGTTGAAAATGGCAGAGTAGACATCAGCTTGGATTCCCAAATGACTGTGTGGAGCCAATTGGGACTATCTTTCCTGGACAGTTATGTTAACGAGTGACAAACTTCTGTTTTATTTAAGCAATGATATTTGGCGTGTCTTTGCCTCATAGTTTGCTTACTCAAACCCTTCATCCCTTCCCAATTTTAGCTTTATCACAAACCTTGACTATATGCAGTGTGATTTTGCAGTGGAGATGACTATGACCCTTATAGGATGATCCTGATCCCCCACACAGTCCAGCTGTCTTCACCACATAGCTAACATTCAATGTTCTTTGCTATAGCTGCGGGGATTGTGTTCGAAGTTCCTATTTCAGACAGTCTGCTCTTCAAGCTCTCCTGTTCCCATCACAATTTCAGTCCTCATTACCCACATGGAGCAGAAGAAACACAGAGAATTTCTGAAGTGCTGTTAGGCTGTTCTTCAGTTATTATGAAGCCTTTGATGTGTGCAGAGGTGTGGCTTTAATTCCTAACAACCGAATAACTTCAAAGGGGGAAAAGCTTGAAAGGGGATACTGAGGAAGACCTTTGTTATTTTTTAAGGGACAACCTTCCTAGTGGTATTTTTCTCCACGGATGATTCTTTGTCACCCAAAACCATGGGAGGAAGATAAATAATACCTCCCAGTGTGTTGACAGTAACTTCATAGATCAGAAAAGGCTGTGGAAATAGGTCAGACCAAAAATATATAGTGGTAAGTACTGACTGTGATGCTAGACTGCCCAGTGTTTGCCAACTGGGGAGTGCAACCAGTCAAGCCAGGGTGGTCACTGAGACCAAAAAGAGAAATGCAAATAGTGTGGTTATTGTCCTTGTGGTTACATTGCAAAGGTGTCCCTTAGAGGACCAAGAAGCCATAGACCCTATCCTGCAGAGCAATGGTTTTCAAGCATGTTTTAATTCTGACCAACAGTAAGAAATACATTCTGCATGTACTCCCAATACACACACAAGAGCAGGTACACATATTTATACAAAATTGAAACATTTTTCAAAATAATACTTATACTTACTATTCTGATTTTTTAAATGTTCCTCTAAATTGGTTTCATAACCTGGTAATGAGTTGTAGCCCATTTTTACTGTAAACAAAATGTTCATTCTGTGATAATCTAGCAAAATGCTAGAGCCTGAGTACCTGTAAATACAATATATAAAACCAGAAGGAAATTCCAAAGTGACAGAGGACAAAGAAAATGAAGGAAGGCAATGACTTCCTTAGAGCCTTTAATTTGCAGCTACAAATCTTCTTTATAAGTATCTTGCAAAAAGCAAATGAAATCCTCATTAAAAAGAAGTATTGGAAGTACTGATGATATACAACCAGATGTATAGTACACACACACACACACACACACACACACACACACACACACCTCTGTGCATTATGTGACTATGTACCAAGTGTGTCGGTTAAAAAATTGTTTACAGTTAGTTATTTATGTTGTTACTAGTTAATCTTTGTTTTCCAAGTACAAGAGTTTAGAACACCTCAGAAGTTTTAAGGCAAGCACACCTGGATCAGGTGGGCCCAGTCAGCCATTCGGGCATGTAGCACCTGATTGGTTATTTTCAAAGAACCAGATACTACAAAATGAAAAACAACAGAAGTTATTTCTATTTGGGTGAGCCAATCATATAGAATTCTATGATTTAAATGTTGAAAGAGCTCATAGAGATATGGCCCACCACTCCATTATTTTGTAGATGAAGAGATGATATGCTAAAGCCTACCACAATTCATTGACAGCTGGTAGAGTGACAGAGGCAGAACCACAAGCCCTAATCTCCAGACTTTGGACTAGTGAACTTTGTACAACACCTGGCTGCCCCACCTTTAGCTCAATGGTTCATAAACTGTAGCGAAATCTACAATTATTTCAACTTTCTTATGGCTCTGGATTTAACCGTTAGGATGACAGGAAAAAAAAAAATCCTGGTTTATGCGAGTGTTGGTAAGGACTACAAGAAAGACTAGACTTGAAAAAAGTGATTAAAATGGAAAATTCCCAAAGAAAGAGGCAGACGGTTGCAAACTCTAAACATTCATAACTAAACCAGTGCTTCTTAGACTTTAATAAGCATAAAAATCCCACCATTAGAGTGTTAGGTGTGGATCTGGGGGCCCCAACTTGAGTTTCCGATTCAGTAAGTGTGGGGTGGTGCCTGGGAATATGCCTTCTCATCGGCACCACAGGCAATCTGACTAAGGGCAAAGGTGCTCCACACTACACCCTCATCCCAGCCTCAAACACCTCAGCTTTGTGAAAGATGGCAGGTTAGAGTCACAGTGCAAAAGGCCACTGGATCAAATACCAAAGCACTGTGACTAACAGGTGACTTTATGATGAATCACAATGTTTGTAGTTCAGGAGGATGTCACAGTCAAATCTCATGCTTAGTGGATTCATCACCATGTGTGGGGGCAGAAACTACTTCCACTCTTACCTTCCATACTGCATAACTGCCAGGTACGTAAGTCATATTATTATTTTCATTGTCGTTAATCTGTACACTCCGTTCTGAATCTATATCATGCTTTACAGTTCTCATTAGTTAACTCTTAATGAACTCTAGTATGTTGGTGTTATTCCCACCCTCGTTTTCTTATCAGAACACAAGAAGAGGCTTAAAGGCAATGGCTGCCTCTATAAATGTTCTGAGTGATTTAAGCTAAAGCAAGAAATGCCATTGGAACATTGCACAATCAGGGCCATTTGTTCTAGGAGTTCAACCGTCTAAGTTTCAACAAATACATCAGATCAATTACTTGGTGATGGGAAATTCTGATTCTCCCTTCCTTACCCCCTGCTACATGCAAAACTCCCAAATCAACTCCTAAACTGCATGACAGATTTAGCCTGTTTTTTTCAAAGATTATGGGGACAGTTTGTGGGACAGCTGGTCCTAGAACTCTGGACACTGTCAAAAATGATGCAGTAGTGATTGGCTGTTGTCAGGACCAAGTTGATGGGTCATTAGTCCAAGCTATGCTGGTAAATCACATGCATTTCTTAGCGCTAAATAGATCCCATTACTCTCGTTAATCACTTTCACATTTGAGAATTTTCACACATCACAGAGACACATTTGTTTGCCAGGTATGAATAAAGAGTCCTTTATAAACTGTGCTGCTGTCTGCAAATGCTGAGATACAGCAAATCCTTTCCAGGGTGTTTGAAAAGATGAGTTTTTCAAATTTGAATTGTGTGTTAATTATTACTGGATTTGAGCCCCCATCTATATATTCTGTAGCAATTGCCTGTGGCTGCTATAAATACGTCTAATTTACCATTTATTTTTAATGATACTAAATTTTCATATTTGCTGTCAACATAGAAATCCCCTCTGGTGAATCTACTCTATTAGTATTATATTAAAAACAGATTTCCTTGGTTAACAAAAAAAACTAGGGCCTCTCCAGCTTTAAGTAAAAAAAAAAACACCCTTAGAAATTAGGATGAATTATTAATTTGTAACATCTGTGACTGGGTTATGTTACAATGGGAGACTCTCCAGAGATGCAGGCTAAGCAATCTTCTTGAAAATGACTTCATATCTGAACCCCCTGGGGCCACACGGCCAGGCACTGTGTCATCATGGTCTGTCCTTGATAAACTGCTGGATGGGTTGCATGAATTGTAAATGGAAACACTGCTGGTGTCACTTACACTTAAGGATAAAATGGTCCCTACTCCCTGCTTGACAGATATTAGTTACATTGTATATTGTGATTGACAGAGGCATGAATCTGTCAACAATCAGCCTTGCAGGGTTTTGGGGGTTTTTTTTCCTCCCACTGAGAACAGCTTTATAAAAGCTTAAATTCTATATGTGACTCCTTTACTATTCCTTACCTCCTTTAAATTCCATAAAGCCATCTGGGTTTCAATGAAATTGACCCCCCAAAAAGTTAAAGAACGTATTTGCTTTGAATTTTAATTCTCTGAAATCTGAAGACGTTTTCACAAAATGCATATCGTTAGAATCCAAGGTACATGTCGTAAAAGCATTATTCATGAAAAGACTTGACTCGTCTTGGACTAGAACCAACCATCTGGGTGATGCCTAAAATGAGTTTTTGAACACATTCCAATATGCCGTTTCCCCCTAGATGTTAAAATAGATAAAGTGCTTCTTAAATACAGTTTTTAAAATGTGTTTTTTGTGGCCTAGAGTGTTCAAGTAGAAAGTGTTTCACAGCCTGACTCAGAGGCTTGCCACCAAAAGGACCAACATACCCTTTCTCTGCTCCATTTCTTAATTATACATCAGTGACTCCTTTATACTATGAAAACTCTGTAGGGGATTGTGATGTTAATTGTAGAAAATCAAATGCTTCTTGAGTAAGGCAGGTTTGTTTTATAAGATATACTAAAAAGATTAAAATATGTAAATCAAATTTCACTTTACACATGCAAATCCAATTTCCTTTTATACATCTGAAGAGTTTAAACCTTTCTCCACCCCTTAACACAGCATGAGTTGGCTTAAGATTTTTCACCATAGAAAAAGGCTCTTGGTCTCTGTAGACTGGTGCTCTGACATCTTTTTATTTATTTATGGTGTTAATAATATAAGTACATTCTAATATCTTCTAATGAAATTTATTTTTTACTTCAAAATTTCTTACCACTTCCAAGCAGTCAATGATCTTGGTTAATTTATCTTCAGGTAAATTCTTCAGCAAGGATACACTTCAAAATTAAAAAGAAACCTTCAATTACCTTCCTGAATTAAACTATAAATATACACATATGCAGATTCTAAAATCTTTACATACATTTTAAAAAATATAATGCACTTTGATTCTTCCAAAGTAAATGTCCAAATAACTGAAAACACATCAATAACTGAATTTCATATACACTGGAAATTATAGATATATAATCACAGACATGTGCCACAGGCAAACAAATGAAAATAGTAAGATACCAGACAGGGGGAAAAAAATCACATTTTGTCTATTTGGTAAAAATAAATTTACATTTGTTGTTGGTTTTCACAGTGAATCGCATTTGGAAGTTTGTTCCTCTCTACTTCTCAATATCTGTTTTATTAGTTTGTGCGAGGAGCTCTGCTTCCAGTGGAGAATCAGATTTTTGTCTAAATCCTTATAATTAAGTAAGGACTGAATCCGGGGTTGGGAGGGAACATGGGAATTGACATTGAAATGATCTCTGATTATTAGTCATACTGTACTGTCTTTTAAAATTAATGATAGCCAGAGGCATGGATGAACTTCAAAAATAACTAAATCAAGCTACAGGCAAAATTATAAACAACACCAAGGGAATGATCACTAAACTTCAGAACGCAGATACTCTCAAGGAGAAGAGGAGGAAGAGGCTGGAAAGAACATGGGGAAATACATAAGAACTTCAACAACTGCTTTCTCTTCCCTAGGTTGGGCAGTAGCTTCACGGGTGTTCATTTTGTTATGATGTCTTATAACTTACATATGTACTATATATCACATAGAATATCACATACTTCATAATAAAAAATGTAAATAAAAAAAATACTGTATATTATGAAACAAAGAGAAATGTATTCCCCTAATATATCTCACTATAGATGAAATGGTAAAAGAGTCATCAGAACTTGTTATTAACACAGGCTATCATGAAAGTTTTACTTCTGGTCCAAACAGGCATCTATAACATTAGTGAAAATTAACTGTTATAAACCTAGCACCTTTGGAGGTTGGTGGCAAAAGAGATATAAGAAAAAATATTTTCTCTGTCTCCCCTCTCTGAAGGCAAGAATCAGGTTTATCTTGTTAACCACTAAATCAACAATATTTAGTGCCTGCTAATAAGTATTAGTTGAATGAAGGAAACAACAAAAGGAGGGAAGGAAAGAATGAATATTCACTAGTAGATTATCCGAGCTTTTTCCACTAAGAACATACTAGACTCCAAGGTAATTAACTGCTATGCCTAGTTCACGTTTTATCTCAGACATTCAAATACAACCCAGGCACACTGGTTTTTTTAGGTACCTCTTTTTGGCCCTTACGTAAGTGTGGCTTATCAGCTTTAAATGCTAACCTATGTTGCTCAGTTGGTGGATTTTGAGATCACCTAGATTCAAGTGGGCCCCACAATATGATAGCTAATGCATTGGCTGGCATATAGATAGAGAACCTGCTTGTCATTATTGCAGCTCTCTGCCAGGAGACATTATTGTCTCTGGGAGGACAAATCAGTAAGATTCTAGATGAGAAATCTCATTCAATGTTTATTGAGCCTACACTATAAGCTAAGCACTATATGGCCCTAAAATCATTAGCTTTGAAGGATTCTCATGCTAGAAAAAATTACCATAAGAACTTATAATTTATTTTTGGAAATAATGTGATATATTATTATTAATATTATTATTACATATCATAGATAACATTTCATTATAGAATGTATTGCAGCTTCAGAAACTTGCAAAACTCCCATTAAAGATACAGAAATTGTTTAAATAAATAACTTATACTTCCAAATAAAGTTTTAATGTGAGACTAGTTTTTTTCACTTACACAGACATTTATTTCCTTATAAATTGATTCATCCAAGGTGTTGAGGTACAGAATAGTTCACAAAATGAGTGTGTTCCAAGTCCCTGTCATCATGACAAGTATAGTAACATTTTTAGCAAGTCAATTTGCTACAAATAATAGTAATTTGGAAGATGGCGTGACTATGCAAATAAGAAAGTCTCAGGTAAAGCAAATAAGCATAGTAAATTTAATTAATTTTAATACCATTCTAAGCAAAGTACTTTTAGAAAGCTTGTCTTTTGGCTAACCACTTTCAAATTTCAAATGCCTTTCAAAGCCAACTGAGCAACCCAATTAATAATTTAGGTTTTTTGCACATTTTTCTATGCTGTGCACTATCACTCTATCAATACAAGGGCAAAAACTAGCAGGAGAAATAAATGAGTATACAAGGATAATAGAAATTAAATACAGTTTTTGGTATGTACTGGCATTTACTGCAAGCAATGTTCCTTTGGTTTAGTCATGTGGAAAATGCTTAAATGGAAGTAGCTATAGTTGAATAATTATTCTGATAAAACCAATATATTCACAATATGGCGACTCCACTGTCTTCACTGTCTCCCAATGTATTATTCTTACCTTCTGAGGAAGTTTCTGTATTGTTCATCTCTAGCTTGGGCTGTCCTCCTCATTATATTCTGGAATACCTCTCGATCTAGTGCCCATGTTTTAACATTGGTAATAGCTTTAGAAAATTCAAGAAAACAATAAAACACTTAGTACAACATTGTGAAAACATTCCAAAATATAAATCGATGGATTTGTTATATGTTCTTATAAAATGGTACTTCTTGGAAAATGTATTATTTAAACATACAAATGAAGGAGACAGAAAAATAAATAGTGAGCAATTTTATAAATCATTTTGGCTTTGAAATACACTATTATTTGGAAATGACTAGCAAAAAATTTCCTTTCTAATTATGTTACAGTTAGGATGATATTCAAATTAGTTTGCAATTCCCAATTATGCACTAGATCATCAGGATGTGCTCTAGATTTCTGCTGTAATACAAGAGAAAGGCAGTCAATTTGTAGCTAATCTGGAGAGTGAAGTCACAAACAGATAATTGAAAGTTAAAGCTATCTGTGTGTATGTGTGTGTTTTTATGTGTCTTTTTATGTTGTTCTGACACTGTTGCTAAAGAAGCTACATATTATTTAAGAATCTCTACAGTTACTTTTGTGTAAAATGCCTACAAATTATTTGAAAGAGACTATGAAAGAAAGTTTTTGAGATAATTTTTTTTTACAGTAAAGACTTAAGGGCAAGTATAAAATTTAAAAAGAAAGTGGGCCAGAAGTGGTGGCTCTAAAAAATCTAGATGAAATTGTGGTTGTACAATTTTTTAAAAACGAGTAACAAAGCCTCTAAAATTGATCAAAACCCAAAGCTCTGGATTACCAAACTTTACATTGGAATCATCTTGATATTCTTGTTAGAAATACAAGATCCCTGGGCTCCATTGCCAGAGACTCTGATTCAGGTTGGGAGTAGAGACCCAAAATCTGCATTTTTATCAAATACCTCAGCAAGGCTAACACATATAAACTAGTCCCAAACACTGAAAAACATCATATCTATGTAATTCAGAAGGAAACCCAAGATTGCCATAAAGTCAATAAAACAAATCTAAAGAAAAGCAAGTAAAGTAATCCCAAAAGTCATTCATGAATACTCTAATTACTCTAATTCATATTCCTTTTGATATAGATACATTTTCATTGGTTTAATTAATTTCTCTGGCTTATAATATGGTCAGAACCTCGTTGAGACTAGCTAGAAAGCAAACATTCTAGATGAGCCAAAGGCATGTGTCTATGTAGTAAAAAGTAAAGTGGCAATTAAAGCAAATATGGAATCAGTCAGCTTAAAGCCATTGTTTTTGGCAGAACAAACCTTTTTATTTTTATTTTTATTTTTAATTTAATTTAATTTTAATTTCCAGGATACACATGCAAGACATGCAGGTTTGTTTCATAGATAAACGTGTGCTGTGGTGCTTTGCTGCAACTATCAACTTAACACCTAGGTATTTAGCCCCGCATACATCAGCTATTTATCCTGATGCTCTCCCTCCCCCACCCCTCCCCATTGGGCTCCAGTGTGTGTTGTTCCCCTCCCTGTGTCCATGTGTTCTCATTGTCCAACGCCCACTTATAAGTAAGAACATGCAGTGTTTGCTTTTCTGTTCCTGTGTTAGTTTGCTGAGGATAATGGCTTCCAGCTCCATCTATGTCCCTGCAAAGGACATAATCTTGTTCCTTTTTATGGCTGTGTAGCATTCCATAATGTATACATACCACATTTTCTTTACCCAGTCTATCACTGATGGTCATTTGGATTGATTCCATGTCTTTACCGTTGTGAATAGTTAAAAGCCATTTTACATTTTATACACAGGTATCCAGAAAAGTTCTTTTTAGCTTAAATTATATAGGTAAGTGCTTCAGTATAAATCCCTTAATAGGCATAGCATTTCTATTATAAGAACATATAGGGTAAAATGGGAAACAGACTGTGGATCAGGGTGCAAATGTGACTGGACTAGATTATCTTTAACATGCCACAACAATTCAAAGATGGAGCATTTCCTCTTTTATTACCTTTCACAGAGGCAGTCCTTGTACAATTGTATAAAATGGCAAGCTCCCCAAATGTGGTCCACATAGGGATGGAGGACAGCAATTTCTCCCCTTGGAACACCTCTAGTCGACCCTCTATCAAGCAGAATTTTAAAAAACACACACACAAATAATCGAAATCCGTGTAGATACTATAAATTAGTAAAATAAAACAATCATAAAGCACACAAAGTATACAGGTAAGATATTTTATGATTCTCATTATAATACACCAGTTAAAAGTGTAGACTGAAATCACCTCTGCCACTTACTATTAGCTGGGTTGCCTTGAGAAACTTACGCTATCTGTCTGAAGTTCCTCATCAACGATGAGGATAATAATAATTATTATTATTATTTTACAGTGGCAAGAATGAAATAAGTTAATCTAGGTAAGGAATTTAGAACAATGGCTAGTGCATAGTAAATGCTGTGTGTTAGCTATTATTAATATTATTATTTTTACAATGTTATTTTCCTGAAGCAGTGGATGGCAAGTGTTTTGTTTAAAATTCATTATAACCTATGAGAAATGTAATACATGAAACTATTTCTCTTTTATGAGGAGCTCAACAATCACTGTATGTCATAAAAACACAGAGAAATTGTTCACAATGATGGAATGACAACCCGTCATAACCAGTAAGTAGATCAGCCCTGGAATCAGACTGCCTGGCTGTGTCCTGATTCAACTCATTTTTGCCTATGTGACCTTGGGCAAGTTACTTCATGGTGCCTCAATTGTTATCTAACCTCTAATTTATTTAAATGTAATACATATTAGTTACAAATGAAAATCACTAAGAAGAGTGTTTGGCACTTATTACCTGGGCAAAGACTGGAGGAAGGGAGAGGCAGAAGTTTGCATCCCCTTCACTATTTTTCTTTTTTTGCCTTGGCAGCTTTACTCTTCTTTTGCTTTGAACAAATACAAACAAAACCTTAACCAACTAAAAGCATAAGCAAAAAAGATCTAAGTTCTTAGAGGAAAAAAAAGTGATGGGGTAATATCTCCTTTCCTTAAAGAATTAGTCTTTCCTTTTCCTAATTCACTGCTAAGTAGCTCTGTATCATCTCTGTCCATCCCTTCATTCAGCAAAACTGATCCGAGTACCTATGTTGTGCTGGGAACTGTTCCAAGTGCCAGAGCCATAGAGAGGACAAAAGAGAAGATATCCTTAGCCTGATAGAATTTATACTAGCAAGGAAAAAAAACACTCAGTTCTGGCTCCAAATCCTAGAGGTTAGACATGCAATTTAAAATTTCTCATTAGCTAAATTCTATTCTATCAAAGCCACTTAGTGGTAGTGTCCAGTTGATATCATGAATCTTAATGCATTTCAAGTTTTTATCTTGAAATTGGTTATGGCTCATTGTGCCTGAGCAATGCTGAAGAATTATATGGAATATCAAAAGTTAAAGCTAAATATGCTTTTACTATTTGCTATTCATGCTATGTTTCATAAAGGGAATATTTTTAATTATCAAATTAATTTGCTCAACCAGATAATTAAACCAGGCAATTCAGTCCTTGGGTGACACTACAATTAATTCAAATAAGAAACCATCCAATTTTCATTTCCATGTGTGCCATAACTCTGATCTCAATAGCTGTTTTGATACTGACTTCTGTTCAACCTCTTCTCTCCCTGAGCCTTTCATCAGAACTACTTGGGAAGGAACGAGATAGGCTTACATCAGTTTCTCATCCTCTCCTAGGAGGTTTCATAAATATTTGTTGACTTAATGACCTATCTTCTCTTGCTGCAATACTCTAGTGTTGCTAAAGCAGAAGTTAAAATGGCTAAGAGAAAAGTTGCAAGAGGGAAAAGTTGTCCCTAAAAACTTGAAGGCTGGCTAAATTAAGACTATAACTCATTAATTAAGTAGAATGATTCCTTGGGAATGACTGTATAATTTTAAAGGTGCCTACAAAGATATATACGGCAAATAATAATCATAAAATTGGCATGTTCAAATAATCAACGTATATAAAACAATCTTTTATATACTATAAATAGAATAATACATGTTTATTAATTTGTTTAGATAGACAACTTCTGCCTCACACTTAAGGCCCCAAAGGAACAAGAATAAAAGCAATACTTAGATTATCAGGAACTACAATGCCAATGAAGGAATGACAACCATCATTGTTGTCAACAACATGTCAACAACATCAACAAATAGAAAGCATTCCTCCATTCATCACTCCTTCTGGGTAAGCCAGTTTTAACTTTTTTCCCTAAAACTCAAAAAGTTGTGCCAGAATGTGACAAAACGTTCTATAACTTTAATCCCTGTTTAGATAATTTTTTGCTTCTATATACAAAAGAGAAAAAAATTGAGTAGTCATTATAAGATCTATACATTACAAAAATAAATCATTTGCCTATCTAACCATTATAATCTTCCCAACTTGTAAGCATGTTCAAATTACCACAGATGAAGGAAACCATTTAAATAATTCTAAAAACACCGGTTTTAATTGTAAGATATGTCATTTGATTTGTGTGTTGGTCAAAAGTACCTAAATTATCTTTTTAAATCATTGGTATAAAACCAAAACATCTTCCAGAACCACAATAATAATTGTTTTCTTTTCTCCTGGTGCATTTCTTAAAATGTTAACTTCAGCAGCAGTATTTGAATAAAAACACTTTTTGAGCACATGGTATTGTGATTAGAAGTGCAGATTCTTAAGTCAAATTGCCTAAGTGTGCATTTTACCTCCACTGCTTATGATCTATGTGGCGTTACCCTCTCTGAGACATAGTCCATGTTAGTAACATGGAGAAAATAGAACTTGCCTTACAGGGTTGGTGAGAAGATAAAATGTGATCTCTCTATCAACTGCTCAATAGGATGCCTGATATATAGAAATTATTCAGCACATATTAAATATTACCATCAATTAAACATTACCATCATCATGATTAGATCAACAATTTTGCTATTTCATGATTCAATATGTTATGTTTTCTACAAATAGAGCAACCAGTTTTATGTTTTTATAAATGTTTGCAGAAAATCATAACAGGCAAAATATTTATTATATATCTGGAAAAATCTGTGAAACCCACCTGCCAGCACAAAGATATGGTTTCCTGGTTCTCCTTGCTTAATAATGTAACTCCCTTGCTGATAGTTTCTCCCATACATGCATTCCACCATGTCTTTGATCTGCTGAGGATCCAGTCTTTTCAGAAACTGATTTTTATTAAGGGCATCTGTAATGAGCTTCTTCTCACTGGTATAATGGAAAAGAGATGTTAGTTACAATTAATGAAAATCATGTTTTACTATTTAGATTCACTTTATTCTGATTCTCAATAATATTATCTACAAACTTATAACTTTCTAGCAAGAACAACCTTTTTCTAACCCCACCAAACATTTCACCCTTATAACTACCATAGCTTACATGAAAAACCTAAGAAAATGTTTTTGAATATTATTCTGATAGTCATCATGACACCAATATTATCATTCCTAATTGCCATCACCACAAATGTAGCATTTCTCAAGATCCATAGATGCACTACTAATGGACACATGATTTTTTAGATGGAAAGCAAATCTCATGGATACAAAGGAGTTGTATTTAAGGGACTACAATACAGTCTTCACTCACTGATGTATTCATGTATGCATAGTGCCTACAGTTGTAGTTATTTTATATTTTATTTAATCCTCATTATCATATTATGAGATAATTACTATTCCTATTTTAGGAAGAAGTAGACTAAGAGGTAAGAAGCAACTAATTTTTCATGGGATTTGAAACTAAGTAGGTGAATCTGAAGTCTGCGCTGCTTCCATTCCATCCCATTGTCTCTTCTGAGGGAGAAAGCTTCTAAGGGAGAAAGCCTTTGGGGCTTGGTAAGTTTGATCAGACATAGATGGTGACAGTGATAGTCTAGGTTTGACTAGGTTTTACTCTAGATATGGGTGGACTAGACAGAACTGACATTTCCAATCTCACAGTCCATTCTTTCCTCAAATCCAAGTTCTACTTGCTGATAATCCTATAATGCTCTGCTTTATTTTGGAAAAGATGTAGCTCAAGATAGCTACCCAATCTTCATTAACATAAATTTAAAATGTTTTAATGAAAATTATTCATATGTAGATATCATAAAATTATTGTGCTGCAAGAAAAGATGCTCTATGGGCTAAGTCAGATCTGCACAATATATTTACTCTCGATCATAAAACTCAGCATGATTTTTTAAGTACTTTTTTCTGTATCTTTCATTCAAACTCTCTCCCAATTACTGTTTGGAAGCTGGTGATCTTTTTCTACACAAAAAGTTTTCAAACAAAAGGTAAGACTTCATGAAATTAAATAATTCTTTCATGACTCTATCCATCATATCTTTAGGCTACATGAAGAAAACAGAATGAAGTCTTGTACAAAGAAATTTCTTCTTCCCTACAGTGACTCAAAGCTATTCAAATTATTTGAGTGCCTTGAGAAGTTCCATCTAATCTATTACTAAATCGTATCAATTTGTTTTAAAAAGTATCACTGTTATCCATTTTATTTCCCATTTTCAAGGATGGCACCACAGTCCAAGAACAAATCTTAGGTCTGGACAACTTTAAAATTTTATTTTCTTGGACTTAAGCTTCTAGCCGATTTTCCCTAAAATCCAACTGTATTATATCATCAGATTATTCTTGCTAAAAAAAAATTTAAAAATGGATTTCATGTTCATCCAATTCATTTTTATCCACTAAAGCCAACTCACTTAATATATATTGAGAACATATCTTTGCTAGGTAATTCTCTTAGTACAACTGGTAGAACTGTGAACAATATCAAGAAGCTCCAGCTTTCGCAGACTTTATATGTTAGTATAATATTCCAGTCAGTGTTTCCTCAATGCCCACATATACTAATTTTCCAAAGTATGTTCCAAGAACACTGTTTCTTTATAAGCAAAAGTGTGCTAAGTTTAAGCAACTTTGGAAATTTAAAATGCACACTTCAAAGAAGTCTTGCTGTAAACAAATCTCTTTAAACCAGTATTTCTGGAGCTTCAATGTCCTCTTTATTTCTTTCTTTTTTGGTTTAACTTCTTTCTTTTGGTTCTTCATTTCTTTTTGGTTTAACTTCATTCATTCAACATCCAACATTCCATGGAAGTACTCAAAAAGACTCTTTTGTCCATAGAAAAAAAAAATCAATATCCTACAACCCAGTATTTACTATTTTCTACAACATGGCTCCAATCTATCCATCTAGTACTTACTCCCTAAAACAAATTTTTTATTATAGATAAGCTGGTATCCTTATCATCCCCTATATCTTTGCCTTAAGAGATGGAACATGTTTTCTTTTGTGACTTAACTTACTTTTTACCCCTCAACCTTTCCAAACCTTATACATTCACCAAGAAACCCCTCATGATTTTAAATTGGATGATTTTAAATGGATGCTGCAGTTTACACCATCCTTTCTTTCTCCTGTGAATTCCTAGAGTACTTATATTCATATCTATTCTGCTTTTAAAATGTCATTAAGCACTTACTTAGGACATAAAAATTAATTAAACATGACCCATGGCCTCAAAAAGTTTCCAAACTTTTATAACTTGGTGTATAGACATATTGTAATAGTCTCTAATTAGTGAAATTATCTCTATGAATTTTTCTCAAAAGTAGATTATAAATTTAAAACAACTTATTTTAAAAATCTGGTAAGTTTCGGCCAGGCGCGGTGGCTCACGCCTGTAATCCCAGCACTTTGGGAGGCCGAGGCGGGCAGATCACGAGGTCAGGAGATCGAGACCATCCTGGCTAACACAGTGAAACCCCGTCTCTACTAATACAAAAAAATTAGCCGGGCATGGTGGTGGGTGCCTGTAGTCCCAGCTGTGGAGGCTGAGGCAGGAGAATGGCGTGAACCCAGAAGGCGGAAGTTGTAGTGAGCCGAGCTCGCGCCACTGCACTCCAGCCTGAGTGGCAGAGCAAGACTCCATCTCAAAAAAAAGAATATAAACTTTGCAACTCTTTCTACAACTATGACAGACCAGCTATTACCAGCATAACTCTTCCTGCTCCCACAAAACAACTATAAAAGCTGATTAGATAGATAGATAATCTATTGGAAGTATTGAAGATCTATCAACATAGCAACAACTTAGAGTCATGATCTACAAGAGAACATGAGGCTGACAGTCTCCTCAGCATTTCCTACAAGGCAGTTGCTGCTTTTCAGGCAGCTACTGAACACAGTCTTGGCTATCTCAAAGACAAAAGTTCAGGTTTAAAGCACACCATGAAGTGGGATGATAGGATGCTTAGTTCTTACTCCTAGGCTGCAGCCCTTCAGGTGTCCCATCTGAAATCCTGGGTGTCTACCTGGGGTCCTGGTAACCACCCAGGATTTCAGATGGGACACCTGAAGGGCTGCAGCCTAGGAGTAAGAACAAAGCAAAATAGGCTAGCTCTCAAAAACACTGAAAACCAGCTACCAAACCAACAAAACCCTATTTTGGTTACAACTATCAGCCACTAGCTTAACTGCCTGCCAGAAGTAAAAGTAAGCATTCTCCATTGGAAGTTCATAAAATCTAGACACTCAAATTTTCTCCACAGTTTTTTAAATAGGAAATATTTGTCATGACATCAGAAGTTACCAGGCATACTAAGAGAAAAGCCCAAATGACTAAGGACAGAGAGAAAAAAAGACAATAGAAACAGAACCATAGTAGATCAATATATTGCAGCTATCAGGTACAACTTTAACTGTAAGCAATATGCTTTCAGGACAAATGGAGATGTCAGTAGAAAACGTGAATATTTAAAGAAATCAAATGGAAATTCTAAAACTGAAAAACACAATATCTGAAGCTTGACACGCAAAAGATCAGTTTGCAATCCGATAAAATGCAGCTGATAATAATTAGAAACTAATTATAGGCAGCTAGAATATATTTATAGAAGATTGGAGAGAATCTAGGATGCAAAACAAAGCAAAACAAAAAACTAAAAATCAAAACATAAGAGATATATGAGGCATAATAGAGAAGTTGAACATACGTATAATCTGGGACCCTGAAGAAAGAGAAATAATTGAGCTGAAACAATATATGAAGGAATCATATTTAAGAGTTAGCTTAAATCAGGCAGAGTGCAGTGCCTCACGCCTGTAATCTCAGTACTCTGGGAGGCTGAGGTGGGCAGATTACAAAGTCAAGAGATAGAGACCATCCTGGCCAATATGGTGAAACTCCATCTCTACTAAAAATACAAAAAATAGCTGGTCGTGGTGGCAGGCGCCTGTAGTCCCAGCTACTTTGGAGGCTGAGGCAGGAGAATTGCTTGAACCCGGGAGGCAGAGGTTGCAGTGAGCCGAGATTGTGCCACTTGCACTCCAGCCTGGCAGCAGAGTGAGACTCTGTCCCAAAAACAAACAAAAAAAAAAAGAAAAGAAAAAAGAGTTAGCTTAAATCAATTAAAAAATGTCAAGCACAGACAAGATGCATTATAAACTCTGCATAAAATAAATACAAAGAAAACCATATCTAGGCCTACCATAGTCAAATTGCTGAAAAACCAAATACAATGAGAAAACTCTAAAAAGCAGCTAGAAAAAAAAGGCATTACTTTCAAATGACTAACTTACTCTTCAACAGAAATAACAGAAGCCAGAACACAGTAGCATATCTTAAAAGCGCTTCAAAGAGCCTATTTCAATATCTTTACCCAGTGAAAATCACCTTCAAAAATGAAGGCAAAAAGAAGATATTTTCAAAATGTTTTTCCATTGGCAACAGACTTGTAACCGTGAAGAGCTCCAGACAGAAGAAATATGATCTCAGATGGAAACTGGCAGATGTTAGAAGGAAGAAAGAGCAATGGAAAATATAAATCTATGGGTGATTAAAGAAAGCTTGTATTTATTAAAAAGCAATAATAATACCTTGTGCGGTGTAAAATATGTAAGAAATAAATGTAGAAAACAGCCAAAACTGCAGGGGAGGGAACAATAAATGGAGTTAACACAATTTAAGGTCCAGCAATTGATAAAAGTACTAATCTATGTTAAAAGTTTAGTAAGTTAAGGATGCATGCCATAATTTATAGTGAGGCCTACAAGATCAGTCAAAGAATGTTTAACTAGAAAGCTAACAAGGATAGGCCGGGCGCAGTAGCTCATGCTTGTAATCCCAGCACTTTAGGAGGCTGAAGGCAAATGGATCACCTGAGGTCAGGAGTTTGAGACCAGCTTGGCCAACCCCATCTCTACTAAAAACACAAAAATTAGCCAGGCATGGTAGCAGCCACCTGTAATCCCAGCTACTCGGGAGGCTGAGGCAGGAGAATTGCTTGAACCCGGGAGTCGGAGGTTGCAGTGAGCTGAGATCGCACCATTGCACTCCAGCCTGGGCAACAAGAGTGAAACTCCATCTCAAAAAAATAAAATTAAATAAATAAATAAATGAATGAATGAAAGCTAACAAGGATAAAATAGAATTAAAATATATACTTCATTAATCCTCAAAACATGGCAAACAAAAAGAGAAATTGAATAATATTAGATATTAGATTTAAGCCCAAATATTTTTTATTTACATTGGAGGTAAATATACCAAATACCCCAATTAAAAGACAAGCTTGTCAGACAAATGAAATAAAATTTAAGAGGAAATACCAAGTGTATATTGCTAATAAGATACATGCCTTAAAGATAATGTATGGAAAGGCTGAAAATAAAAAAGTGGAAAAAGATATACTATGTAAACATCAATTAAAAATAAATTTTTCTCTGATACAGGAAAGTAGACCTTAATAAAAAACATATTTCTAGAAATACAGAGGAATATTTCATATTTATATCATCAAGAATATCTAAATATTCCAAATATGTATCCACTTAATATGACAGTATCAAAATATATGGAGCAAAATTGGCAAAATTAAAAGAAAAAATAGACAAGTGTCCCACATTGATTCTGGGAGATTTTAACACATCTCTCTAATTAATAGAATAAGCCAACAAAAATTAGTAAATAGATCTGAATATTTGATTATTGAACTTTATTGAATCTCTTGAACTCACTGATATTTTAAATATCTCTTCAATAAATTCAGAATACACATTCATTACTTTTTTTATTATTATTATTGTACTTTAAGTTTTAGGGTACATGTGCACAATGTGCAGGTTTGTTACATATGTATACATGTGCCATGTTGGTGTGCTGCACCCTAATTAACTCATCATTTAGCATTAGGTATATCTCCTAGCTATCCCTCCCCCCTCCCCCCACCCCACAGCAGTCCCCGGAGTGTGATGTTCCCCTTCCTGTGTCCATGTGTTCTCAATGTTCAAGTCCCACCTATGAGTGAGAACATGCAGATACACATTCATTTCTAGTGCACATTAAACAATCATAAAAACTGACCACATGGCAAACCACAAATCATTTCAACACATTTCATAAGACTGAAGTAATACAGAGTATATTCTTTAAATATAGTATTAATAGAATAAAGCTAGAAATTAATAACAGAAAAATCATAAAATCCTCAAATGTTTGAGAATTGAACAATACATTTCTAAACAACCCATTGGTCAAAAATTAAGTTATAAGAAAAGCCAAATCATATTTTGAAATAAATAATAAAATATGACATAAAACTTGTAAGATGCAGTTAAAATGATGCATAGAAGAAAATTTATGATGTCAAATTATATAATAAAATAAATATTATAAATGAGCGTCCTAAGCGTCCATCTCAAAAGACTAGAAAAAGTAAGTTGAACTCAAAAAAGGAAGGAAGAAAATAACACAATGACAGCAGAAAATAATAAAACAGGAAAAAAGAAATATAATGAAGAGAATCAACACAGCCCAAAATAATTTCTTTGAAAAAAATAATAAAATGATAATTCACAACAAGACAGGACTTGAGTAAGAGAGGGAGGAGGTATAATTACTATTACTAGAAATAAGAAGAAGACATCACTATGGATATTACAGTTATAAAAAAAGAAATGAGTAGTATGAACAACTTTATAGTTAAAAATTAAACTGCATTCTTGCCAAAATAGTTGTTCATACTATGTAGTCCAGCATCAAAAAATTCAAAATAAAATTTTTAAAATGACATCATTTAAAATAGTTTCAAAAACATCAAGTATGGAAAATTGTGATGAAATGAAAAAAATTTCTAGAAAAATAAACTACCAAACCTGAGCCAAGAGGAAATAGAAAATCTGATTAGCAATAAAGAAACTAAATCAAATATAAAAACTATCCCACCCAAAAAAGTCTAAACCCAGATGACCTTATTATTAAGCCTTATAGATATTTAAAGGAAAATTAATATTAAATTTATGTAATATTTTCCAGAAAACAGGAAAGACGAATTTTTCCCGATTCATTTTATAGTGCCAGAATAGCCTGATAAGGAGTTATACTACAAAAAAGAAAAATAAAATATAATATCCCTAATGAATAGAGGGACAAAAGTAAAAAACAAAACAAAGTATAAAAAATAAATATTCTAGATTAGATTGAACATTAACATAATTATCAACATGAAAAGAATAAAGGAGAAAAATGTAGCAAATATAATGGGATGCAGAAAGAGTATTTGGTAAAATTAAACACCTGTAATAATTTTTGAATTAAGAAATACTTTTGGCAAATTAAGTATAGAGGAAAATCTCCTTAATCTGATAAAATACATCTATAAAACAAACAAAAACAAAAACACATCATATTATATCGTGAAACATTGAAAGCTTTCCTACAGACATCAGAAATGGGACACTTTAATCCTGAATCAGAAGTCTGAGCAAATTTAATAAAGGGAGAAAGAAAAGAAACAAAAAGAACAAAAATAAAATATGTAAACATAGGAAAAGAAAAAAGTAAACTGTATTCTTTCCAAAAGATATGATTATGTATGTGAAAAATTCAAAAGAAAGTACAGGTAAACCACCAATATCAACAGGTGATTTCAACAATCTCACTTGATATAAAGTCAATATACAAATTTAATTGTATTTCTATATTCTAGTATTAAACAATTAACATTAAAAAATTTTAAATAATTCAAAACAGTATCAACTATGAAGGATTATATCTAACAAAGATAAGTAAGATGTCTACACAGAAGAATACAAAATATTATTAAAAGAATGAGAGAAAACCTAACTAAATGGAGGAATATACCATGGTCATAGATTAGAAGACTATATTTTTAATTATGTTAATTATATTCAGGTTGATCAGGTTCAATGAAATCCCAATCAATGCTCTAAATTTAAAAATTTATGAAAATTGAGAAGCTGATATTAAATTCTTATAGTCATAAAAAGGCCCAAGACTAGCTTCACAACATTGAAGAATAAAAATTACAACACTTAAAGTAATGGATATCAAAAATTATGATGAATGAAAATAATTAAGAGAATATATACTACTGGCACAACAATGGATAAAAAGACTTTTGGGGAGTGGCTGGCAAGATGGCCAAATAGGAACAGCTCCAGTCTGCAGCTTCCAGCGAGATCAATGCAGAAGGTGAGTGATCTCTACATTTCCAGCTGAGGTACCCAGCTCATCTCACTGGGACTGGTTAGAGAGTGGGTGCAGCCCACGGAGGGCAAGCTGAGCAGGGTGAGGCATCGCCTCACCCAGAAGGACAAGGGGTCGAGGAACTCCCTCCCCTAGCCAAGGGAAGCCATGAGGGACTGCACCATGAGGAATGGTGTACTCAGGCCCAGATAGTACGCTTTTCCCATGGTCTTCACAACCTGCAGACCAGGAGATTCCCTTGGGTGCCTATGACACCAGGGCCCTGGGTTTCAAGCACAAAACTGGGCGGCCATTTGGACAGACACTGAGCTAGCTGCAGGAATTTTTTTTTTTCATACCCCCGTGGTGCCTGGAATGCCAGAAAGACAGAATCGTTCACTCCCCTGAAAAGGGGGCTGAAGCCAGGGAGCCAAGCAGTCTAGCTCAGCGGATCCCACCCCCACAGAGACCAGCAAGCTAAGATCCACTAGCTTGAAATTCTCACTGCCAGTACAGCAGTCTGAAGTCAACCTGGAACACTCGAGCTTAGTGGGGGAAGGGGTGTCTGCCATTATTAAGGCTTCAGTAGGCGGTTTTCCCCTCATAGTGAAAACAAAGCTGCAGGGAAGTTCAAACTAGGTGGAGCCCACCACAGCTCTGCAAAGATGCTGCGGCCTGACTGCCTCTCTAGATTCCCCCTCTCTGGGCAGAGCATCTCTGAGAGAAAGGCAGCAGCCCCAGGAAGGGGTTAATAGATAAAACTCCCATCTCCCTGGAACAGAGCACCTGGGGGAAAGGGCAGCAGTAAGTGCAGCTTCAGCAGACTTAAATGATCCTGCCTGCTGGCTCTGAAGAGAGCAGCGTATCTCCCAGCACAGAGCTCGAGCTCTGCTAAGGGACAGACTGCCTCCTCAAGTGGGTCCCTGAACTGCCATGCGTACTGACTGGGAGACACCTCCCAGCAGGGGTCGACAGACACCTCATACAGGAGAGCTCCAGCTGGCATCTGTCAGGTACCCCTCTGGGATGAAGCTTCCAGAAGAAGAACAGGCAGCAATCTTTGCTGTTCTGTAGACTCTGCTGGTGATACCCATGCAAACAGGATCTGGAGTGGACTTCCAGCAAACTCCAGCAGACCTGCAGCAGAGGGGCCTATTAGAAGGAAAACTAACAAACAGAAAGGAATAGCATCAACATCAACAAAATGGATGCCCACACAGAAACCCCATCTGAAGGTCACCAACATCAAAGACCAAAGTAGATAAATCCATGAAGATGAGGAAAAACCAGTACAAAAAGGCTGAAAATTCCAAAAACCAGAATGCCTCCCCTCCAAAGGACCACAGCTCCTCACCAGCCAGGGGGACAAACCTGGACAGAAAATGAGTTTGATGAATTGACAGAAGTAGGCTTCAGAAGGAGGGTAATAACAAAATCCTCTGAGATAAGGGAGCATGTTCTAACCCAATGCAAGGAAACTAAGAATGTTGAAAAAGGGTTAGAGGAATTGCTAACTAGAATAACCAGTTTAGAGAAGAACATAAATGACCTGATGAAGCTTAAAAACACAGCAAGAGAACTTTGAGAAGCATATACAAGTATTGATAGTTGAATCAATCAAGCGAAAGAAAGGATATCAGAGATTGAAGATCAACTTAATGAAATAAAGAGTGAATACAAAGTAAGAGAAAAAAGAATGAAAAGGAATGAACAAAGCCTAATATGTGAAAAGACCAAACTTACATTTGAGTGGTATACCTGAAAGTGATGGGGAGAATGGAACCAAGTTGGAAAACACTCTGCAGGATATTATCCAGGAGAACTTCCCCAACCTAGCAAGACAGGGCAACAATCAAATTCAGGAAATATAGAGAACACCACAAAGATAGTCCTCAAGAAGAGCAACCCCAAGAAACATAATCATCAGATTCACCAAGGTTGAAATGGAGAAAAAATGTTAAGGGCAGCCAGAGAGAAAGGTCGGGTTACTCACAAAGAGAAGCCCATCAGACTAACAGTGGATCTCTGTGTAGAAACCGTACAAGCCAGTAGAGAGTGGGGGCCAATATTCAACATTCTTAAAGAAAAGAATTTTCAACCCAGACTTTCATATCCAGCCAAACTAAGCTTTATAAGCAAAGGAGAAATAAAATCCTTTACAAACAAGCAAATGCTGAGAGATTTTGTCACCACCAGGCCTGCCTTACAAGAGCTCCTGAAGGAAGCACTAAATATGGAAAGGAGAAACCAGTACCAGCCACTGCAAAAACATACCAAATTGTAAAGACCATCAACACTATGAAGAAACCACATCAACTAATGGGCAAAATAACCAGCTAGCATCATGACTGGATCAAATTTACACATAATAATATTAACCTTAAATGTAAATGGGCTAAATGCCCCACTTAAAAGACACAGACTTGGCAAACTGGATAGAGTCAAGACCCCTCGGGGTGCTGTGTTCAGGAGATCCATCTCACATGCAAACACAAACACAGGCTCAAAAAAAGGGATGGTGGAATATTTACCAAGCAAATGGAAAGCAACAAAAAGCAAAAGTTGCAATCATAGTCTCTGATAAAACAGACTTTAAACCTACAAAGATCAAAAAAGACAAAGAAGAGCATTACATAATGGTAAAGGAATCAATGCAACAAGAAGAGCTAATTATCCTAAATACATATGCACCCAATAAAGGAGCACGCAGATCAATAAAGCAAGTTATTAGAAACCTACAAAGAGACTTAGCCTCCCACACAATAGTAGCGGGAGACTTCAACGCCCCACTGTCAATATTAGACAGATCAACAAGACAGAAAAATAACAAGGATATTCAGGACTTGATTCAGCTCTGGACCAAGCAGACCTAACAGATCCCTACAGAACTCTCCACCCCAAATCAACAGAATATACATTCTTCTCAGCGCCACACCACACTTATTCTAAAATCGACCACATAATTGGAAATAAAACACTCCTCAGCAAATGCAAAAGAATGGAAATCATAAAAAACAAACTCTCAGACCACAGTGCAATGAAATTAGAACTCAAGATTAAGAAACTCACTCAAAACTGCACAACTATATGGAAACTGAACAACCTGCTCCTGAATGACTACTGGGTAAATAACAAAATTAAGGCAGAAATAAATAAGTTCTTTGAAACCAATGAGAACAAAGACACAATGTACCAGAATTTCTGGGACACAGCTAAAGCAGTGTTTAGAGGGAAATTTATACCACTCAATGCCCACAGGAGAAAGTGGGAAAGATCTAAAATTGACACCCTAACATCACAATTAAAAGATCTAGAGAAGCAAGAGCAAACAAACTCAAAAGCTAGCAGAAGACAAGAAATAACTAAGATCAGAACAGAACTGAAGGAGAAAGAGACATGAAAAACCCTTCAAAAAAAATCAATGAATCCAGAAGCTGGTTTTTGGAAAAGATTAACAAAATAGATAGACCCCTAGCCAGACTAATAAAGAAGAAAAGAGAGAAGAGTCCAACAGACACAATAACAAACGATAAAGGGGATATCAACACTGATCCCACATAAATACAAACTACCATCAGAGAATACTATAAACACCTCTACTCAAATAAACTAGAAAATCTAGAAGAAATGGATAAATACCTGGACACATAAACCCTCCCAAGATTAGACCAGGAACAAGTCAAATGCCTCAACAGACCAATAACAAGTTCAGAAATTGAGGCAGTAATTAATAGCCTACCAATCAAAAAAAGCCCAAAACCAGACAGATTCACAGCGAAATTCTACCAGATATACAAAGAGGAGCTGATACCATTCCTTCTGAAACTATTCCAAACAATAGAAAAAGAGGGACTCCTCCCTAACTCATTTTATGAGGCCAGCATCATCCTGATACCAAAACCTGGCAGAGACACAACAAAAAAAGAAAATTTCAGGCCAATATCCCCAATGAACATTGATGCAAAAATCCTCAATAAAATACTGGGAAACCGAATCCAGCAGCACATCAAAAAGCTTATCCACTAGGATAAAGTCGGCTTCATCCTTGGGATGCAAGGCTGGTTCAACATATGCAAATCAAAAAATGTAATCCATCACATAAACAGAACCAATGACAAAAACCACATGATTATCTCAATAGATGCAGAAAAGGACTTCAACAAAATTCAACACCCCTATGTGCTAAAAACTCTCAATGAACTACGAGCGTATCTCAGAATAATAAGAGCTATTTATGACAAACCCACAGCTAATATCATACTGAATGGGCAAAATCTGGAAGCATTCCCTTTAAAATCTGGTACAAGTCAAGGCTGTCCTCTCACCACTCCTATTCAACATAGTATTGGAAGTTCTGGCCAGGGCAATCAGGCAAGAGAAAAAAAATAAAGGGTATTCAAATAGGAAAAGAGGAAGTCAAATTGTCTCTGTTTGCAGATGACATGATTGTATATTTCGCAAACCCCATCGTCTCAGCCCAAAATCACCTTAAGCTGATAAGCAACTTCATCAAATCTCAGGATCCTAAATCAATGTGCAAAAATCACAAGCATTCCTATACACCAATAACAGACAAACAGAACTGGATCCCTTCCTTACACCTTATACAAAAATCAATTCAAGATGGATTAAAGACTTAAACGTTAGACCTAAAACCATAAAAACCCTAGAAGAAAACCTAGGCATTACCATTCAGGACATAGGCATGGGCAAGGACTTCATGTCTAAAACACCAAAAGCAATGGCAACAAAAGCCAAAATTGATAAATGGGATCTCATTAAACTAAAGAGCTTCTGCATAGCAAAAGAAACTACCATCAGAGTGAACAGGCAACCTACAAAATGGGAGAAAATTTTTGCAACCTACTCATCTGACAAAGGGCTAATTTCCAGAATCTACAATGAACTCAAACAAATTTACAAGAAAAAAACAAACAACCCCATCAAACAGTGGGTGAAGGACATGAACAGACACTTCTCAAAAGAAGACATTTATGCAGCCAAAAAACACATGAAAAAATGCTCACCATCACTGGCCATCAGAGAAATGCAAATCAAAACCACAATGAGATACCATCTCACATCAGTTAGAATGGCAATCATTAAAAAGTCAGGAAACAACAGGTGCTGGAGAGGATGTGGAGAAATAGGAACACTTTGACACTGTTGGTGGGACTGTAAACTAGTTCAACCCCTGTGGAAGTCAGTGTGGTGATTCCTTAGGGATCTAGAACTAGAAATACCATTTGACCCAGCCATCCCATTACTGGGTATATACCCAAAGGACTATAAATCATGCTGCTATAAAGACACATGCACATGTATGTTTATTGCGGCACTATTCACAATAGCAAAGACGTGGAACCAACCCAAATGTCCAACAATGATAGACTGGATTAAGAAAATGTGGCACATATACACCATGGAATACTATGCAGCCATAAAAAATGATGAGTTCATGTCCTTTGTAGGGACATGGATGAAATTGGAAACCATCATTCTCAGTAAACTATCGCAAGAACAAAAAACGAAACACCGCATATTCTCACTCATAGGTGGGAATTGAACAATGAGATCACATGGACACAGGAAGGGGAATATCACACTCTGGGGACTGTGGTGGGGTCGGGGGAGGGGGGAGGGATAGCATTGGGAGATATACCTAATGCTAGATGACACGTTAGTGGGTGCAGCGCACCAGCATGGCACATGTATACATATGTAACTAACCTGCACAATGTGCACATGTACCCTAAAACTTAAAGTATAATAATAATAATAAAAAAAGAAAAAAAAAAGATTAAAAAAAATAATAAAAAAAAAAAAAAAAAAAAAAAAAAGAAGCTAGCAATTGCACAATGTTTCAGTAGAGCACCAAGGAAAAATACAGGTTTTTACCTTAAAGTGACAATTCAAATACTTCTATTTCTAATTACATATCTGTCTTATTGTTTTGCCATCTAAATTTTTATCCTGTAGCATAAAGCATTTAAAATGTCGTTTCTGTATGTTCTGGCCCCATCCCTAGAATGAGTTCTTTCTGAAGAGAAAGATTTTGTCTTATTTAATCTTTTTGTCTTATTTTATTATTGCTACATCTTCAGAAATAATAAAAATGTCAACACACACAAAAAAAAAGAAAATGTGGCACATATACACCATGGAATACTATGCAGCCATAAAAAATGATGAGTTCATGTCCTTTGTAGGGACATGGATGAAACTGGAAATCATCATTCTCAGTAAACTATCGCAAGAACAAAAAACCAAACACCGCGTATTCTCACTCATAGGTGGGAATTGAACAATGAGAACACATGGACACAGGAAGGGGAACATCACACTCTGGGGACTGTTGTGGGGTAGAGGGAGTGGGGAGGGATAGCTTTAGGAGATATACCTAATGCTAAATGACGAGTTAATGGGTGCAGCACACCAGCCTGGCACATGTATACATATGTAACTAACCTGCACGTTGTGCACATGTACCCTAAAACTTAAAGTATAATAAGAATAATAATAAAAAGAAAAAAAACAGACAGAGAGCCAAATCATGAGTGAACTCCCATTCACAATTGCTACAAAGAGAATAAAATACCAAGGAATACAACTTACAAGGGATGTGAAGGACCTCTTCATGGAGAACTACAAACCACTCTGCAAGGAAATAAGAGAGAACACAAACAAATGGAAAAACATTCCATGCTTATGGATAGGAAGAATCAGTATTGTGAAAATGGCCATACTGCCCAAAGTAATTTATAGATTCAATGCTATCCCCATCAAGCTACCATTGATTTCCATCACAGAATTAGAAAAACCTACTTTAAATTTCATATGAAACCAAAAAAGAGCCGGGATAGCCAAGACAATCCTAAGCAAAAAGAACAAAACTGGAGGCATCATGCTACCTGACTTCAAACTATTGGACATGGCTATAGTAACCAAAACAGCATGGTACTGGTACCAAAACAGATATGTAGACCAATGGAACAGAACAGAGGCCTCAGAAATAGTGCCACACATCTACAACCATCTGATCTTTGACAAACAAGCAATCTGATCTTTGACACAAACAAGCAATCAAGAAAGGATTCCCTACTTAATAAATGGTGTTGGGAAAACTGGCTAGCCATATGCAGAAAACTGAAACTGGACCCCTTCCTTAAAACTTATACAAAAAGTAACTCAAGATGCATTAAAGACTTAAATATAAGACCTAAAACCATAAAAACCCTAGAAGAGGCAATACCCCATTCAGGACATAGGCATGGGCAAAGACTTCATGACTAAAACACCAAAAGCAATGGTAACAAAAGCCAAAATTGACAAATGGGATCTAATTAAACTAAAGAGCTTCTGCACAGCAAAAGAAAATGTCATCAGAATGAACAGGCAACCTACAGAATGGGAGAAAAAGTTTGCAATCTTTCTATTTGACAAAGGGCTAATATCCAGAATCCCCAAATAACTGAAACAAATCTACGAGAAAAAAAATAACTCCATCAAAAAGTGGGTGAAGAATATGAATAGACACTTCTGAAAAGAAGACATTTATGCAGCCAACAGACATGAAAAAAAGCTCAACATCACTGGTCATTAGAAAAATGCAAATCAAAACCACAATGAGATGCCATCTCATGCCAGGTAGAATGGTGATCATTAAAAAGTCAGGAAACAACAGATGCTGGAGAGGATGTGGAGAAACAGGAACACTTCTACACTGTTGGTGGGAGTGTAAATTAATTCAACCATTGTGGAAGACAGTGTGGCGATTCCTCAAGGATCTAGAACCAGAAATACCATTTGACCCAGCACACCCATTACTTGGTATATACCCACAGGATTATAAATCATTCTACTATAAAGATACACACACACGTATGTTTATTGCAGCACTGTTAGCAATAGCAAAGACTTGGAACCAATCCAAATGCCCATCAGTGATAAACTGGATAAAGAAAATGTGGCACATATACACCACGGAATACTATGCAGCCATAAAAAAGGATGAGTTCATGTCCCTTGGAGGGACATGGATGAAGCTGGAAACCATCATTCTCAGCAAACTAACACAGGAACAGAAAACAAAACACCACATGTTCTCACTCATAAGTGGGAGATGAACAATGAGAGCACATGGACTCAGGGAGGGGAACATCATACACTGGGGCCTGTCAGGGGGTTGGGGGCTGGAGAAGGGATAGTATTAGGAGAAATACCTAATGTAGATGAGGGGTTGATGGGTGCAGCAAAACCAGCATGGCACGTGTATACCTATGTAACAAACCTGCACCTTCTGCACGTGTATCCCAGAACTTAAAGGATAATATTAATAATAAAAATAAAAAAAGAATTCTGGGACAGAAAAGAAAATTCAAAAATTGACCTACACATTCATAGATTCCTGATTTATGACAACAGTTGTACTACAGAGCTATGGGAGATAAACAGACCTCAACAGAAAATATACACATCGAAAAGGGCTCACCATTGTTAATTATCAAGGAAAAGAAAACTAAAAGGACACTGAGACACCACAAAATGTCCAGCAGAATGGCCAAAATGAAAAAGACTGACTGAATGCTGTTGAATGCATGAAGTCATTTAATACACATATGTGTTGGTGGGAGTATATATTTGTTTAATCATTTTGGAAAGTTATTTGGCCATCTATATTAAACTTGGATATAATGTACTACCCAGTAACTTCACTCCTAGGTTTATACCCATCATAATTCATATACAAGACATGTACAAAAATGTTCATGGCAGCATTATTCATAAATGCTAAATACCAGAATTAACCAAATGCCTATAAATCATAGAATGATTAAATTGTATATAGTCATACAGGAAATACTATATAGCAATGACAATTAGTGAACCTCTGTTACATACAATAACATAAATGAATCTCACTCTAGGAACAAAAGAAGCCAGAGTCTTTAGAGTACACACTCCGTACTTCCATTAAATAAATTTCAACAACAGGTAAAAAGTACTATGTCTGATAAAAGTAGTGCAAATAGTAGCTCCCTTTAAAAGGGAAGATAATGGGTAGAAATTGAAAGAGGGCATGAGGGGCTTCCAAGGTGCTAGTAATGTTTATTTTCTGATCATTTTGGTGGTCACATGGGTATGTTCACTTTACTTTTTGTGTACTTCAATTAAAAATTCATTTTAAAAAATATGTATGACTTTGGAATCAGAAAATCTTAGGTTGAAATATCAGGTCTGGCACTACCTAGCTTCAATTTTAGCATACATGCTGCCAGCACCTTCCTTGCTTCATTATATTGGACAAGTAACTTAGGCTTTCTGAATCTCAGATCTCTCATCTATGAATAGGCATAGTAATTATGCCTACTTCATAGGAATATTATGCACATTAACTTAAATAACGTGCCAGTAACTTAATAAATGGTAGTCATAGTAGCTGGAAATGGTAGAAGTCTTTCTGGGGGAAAGAGTGGAATGAGAAAAGTTATGAAAACCATAGAACAAGGAGGCACTGACGAGACCCTCTGCTCAGTTCAAAGTTCCTCCAATGGGGCTGGATGTTGAATTCATGCCCATTTGAGGTGGCAGCAGTAATCCTTTTGTAATCACTTTATACCCCCAACTTACACAGTCAACATTTCTTGAAGCAATAAATTTTCATCCTCTAAGTTGCTTCAGGAAGTTTAACTTGGCAAAGTTCACCTACAGTTGTATTAGGCTCTCAATCTTTCTTCTCTGGGCTCATATATTAGAGGTCCGTGTTCTCACTGTTGTTTTTTGTTTTTTGTTTTTTGTTTTTTCCAGGTCAAAGCATGTATCTTGCAACCTTCTTTGAATAAGGCTCAGTGCAAAGCTGGGGCCAGTGACCTTGACCTTCCTTCATCCCTATCTATCAAGGATTTTTTGTGAGCATAAGAGGCAGCAACTTTACTTGTATTTCATTTCATAGCTTAATTATATCTACATGCAATTAGAAAACATATGGTAAGGCATATTTGTGAAGGTCACAAAATCTAGTAGAGCTGGAATGCCAGGATTTGATTCCAACTTCTGCCACTTACTAACTGCGGAACCTTAGGCAAGTCACTGAACCCCTAAGTTTCCTCAGCTGTAAAACAATAATAAACAGAGTCTACAGGTCACAGATTTCTATGAGAATTAAATTAGTTAACAAAATAAAGCACTAAGAACTGTGCCTGGTACATAAAATATACTGCATGAGGGTTAGCTATCACCACAATAAGTAGGCAAGTTACCAACACCTTAAACGCTGAGTTAGAACAAATCTAAAAACTCTATGCTGGCCAGGCGCGATGGCTCACACCTGTAATCCCAGCACTTTGGGAGGCCAAGGTGGGCAGATCACCTGAGGTCAGGAGTTCTAGACCAGCCTGGCCAACATGGTGCAACCCCATCTCTACTAAAAATACAAAAATTAGCAGGGTGTGGTGGTGGGCGCCCGTAATCCCAGTTACTCAGGAGGCAGAGGCAGGAGAATCGCTTGAGCCCACAAGGCAGAGGTTGCAGTGAGCTGAGATCACACTACGGCACTCCAGCCTAGGCAACAGACAGAGCAAAACTCCATCTCAAAAATAAATTAACAAACAAACAAAAACTGTATATTTAAGACCTACCTTTACTTATTGAAGGAGGCCACTTCAAAATGGTAATGCTCCTTTCCTGTCTAGGTTCCCCATACTTAGGGTACCCCAGACCCACCAAACCACACAGTGCCAGGCCTCTTTGTCTCCTATAATCTATTCCTCCTTAAAAACCCAGCTAGAGATTTTCTCTTCTACCCTACCAAGTAAAGAATGTGCCCGCTTTCCTTTGCATGCCTATCTCTTAGAATA